>NW_009646196.1:0-122022 GCF_000001405.40 Homo sapiens | reverse complement strand
CACTCAGTTCAACTTCCATTTCTGCCAACTGCATTTTGAAAAGCGTCCTGCCTAAATGCTTTGTAGGTTACTGAATCCCACTTCCTCCTTACCCTTTTCAGAGTTTTTCTTTTTTTTTTTTTTTTGAGACGGAGTCTCGCTCTGTTGCCAGGATGGAGTGCAGTGTCGAGATCTCGGCTCACTGCAACCTCTGCCTCCTGGGTTCGAGCAATTCTCCTGTGTCAGCCTCCCGAGTAGCTGGGACTACAGTGTGCACCACCACGCCCAGCTAATTTTTGTATTTTTAGTAGAGATGGGGTTTCACTATGTTGGCCAGGATGGTCTCAATCTCTTGACCTCGTGATCCAGCCTCCTCGGCCTCCCAAAGTGTTGGGATTACAGGCGTGAGCCACCGCACCTGGCCCAGAGTTTCTTTTTTCTTAAAGGAAAATGTAAGGATACCAATAATGAAATTTAACTTGAAAGTGACTTGGAATATACATCATTGTGGTTCTCTGTTAAGGGGATTGGGTGGTGAGAGAGTGAGGTAAGGGGCTGGGGGCTGAAAGGAAGGCTGAGTAGAGAATGACCCCTAAGTCTTTGCTCTATGTTGTTGACCCTTTTATAATGAGAATGATTTATGAATTATGTGTATAATTTTTTTAAGTAGAGAAGGAAGGAAACAAATAATGTGTTGAGAAATAGCTCACCTGTGATTTATACAGGATACTTGATTTAGACATATTATGTATTCTCTATTGCTATCAAGTAAAATATCTGTTTAGTAGGTTAACTGTGATTACCTTATTTCCAGTGTCTAGTATAGTATCACACCAATGCAAATTTAAAATTATGTACTAATTCTGCCTCCCATTTCTGTCTTTTGATTACTTGTTTCCTTGATAAGATTAAAATTAGAGAACCTTGTGATAGTACCCTTGGCACACGTGCCCACCCTTTTAGAAGATCATTTGTCAAATTAACAAAGCAATGCTGTGCTAGAAATCAGTGTATACATTAGTGTACATAAAGTCCCTCATATAATGCCTGATACATGCTGGTTGCGTTGTAAAAACTAAGACCTTTCTTCTCTTCCCCTTTGTCCAAGGAATAAGACAGGGTTGACATCAAAGAATTTCAATTTGTAAGCATCTGGCCTAGCAAAGTTAGTTAGAGCTAGGAAGTGTGTTAGGTATTATTTCACCAATTTTCCTCATCTTAAGATAGAGAAACTCAGGCCCAGAGAGGGTTAATGTTTAATACATGTTACAAATCCACCGAGTGGCAGAGTCTTAATGAACTCTTCTAAACTTCTACCTAGCCGGGCACTGTGGCTTGTGCCTGTAATCCTAGCACTTTGGAAGGCCGAGGCAGGTGCATCACCTGAGGTCAGGAGTTGGAGACCAGCCTGGCCAACATGGTGAAACCCCATCTCTACTAAAAATACAAAAAATTAGCCAGGCATGGTGGCGTGTGCTTGTAGTCCCAGCTACTCGGGAGGCTGACGTGGGAGAATCGCTTGAACCTGGGAGGCGGAGGTTGCAGTGAGCCGAAATCATGCCACTGCACTCCAGCCTGGGTGACGGAGCTTTTTTGAGACTTCATCTCAAAAAAAAAAAAAAAATCAAAGTACTGGCCTAAAGGCATTTTAACCTCTCTCAGAGCACAGTATGTGAAGAACAGGCATAGTTCATTATTATTATTATTAGCATATTAGCAGCTTATCATCCTTGTCAGTTTTGGCTTCTGTGTGTGAGTTTTCAATACAATGTTTCAAAGGCCAGAGCAGCTTTCCCTCCTCCTCAGGGAGTGAGCCAGCATCCAGGTGTCTCTGAAGAACAATACCTACCCTTGACTCCCCAGGTGGCTTTGTGATGCTGAGCCTCACAAAGACAGGGAGGTCTTGTGGAAGGGAAGCCCTCAGCCCTCAGCCCTCAGCCCTCAGGGTGCTGACTGGGGTGAGCTCCAGGAAAAGCTTGCCTAATTCTCACCTAGAAAAACAGAGCTCTTCTCTGGAATTCAAACACAATTTAGAGAGGTCAGAGAAATTCAAAGCCTGGGGACCTTTGTCCTCCTGGTGCCCAAACAACCACACATTCTGCTTTCTGCTTCACAGTTTATAAAGCATTATGAAAGGCAGGAGATCTGCATAATAGGTAGTTCACTGTTCTTATTTTATAAAGTAAAAGCAAACAAACAAAAACAGCCCAGAAAGAAACAGGTGAAGAGAAAGGAGAAGACACTAACATGGCTTAAGCACTCATGTGTCCTAGGCATCTTAGATCCCTCATCCCACTTTCAAAACCTCCCTGGAAGGAAGCGTTATCCCTATTTTATAGAAACGGAAGCTTACAGGCCAAGCAGCATGTCCAAGGTCGCACAGCAACAAAGTGGCAGAGCCAGAAGTTGAAGTACATCCTTTGACCTCTATCTAGTAAATTGAGTGCACCTTCTACAGCCCCACATGAGGAAACCCAATCCCAGAGCGGTAACATGCCCTGCAGAAGGTCACGTAGCTAGTAAATAGCAGGGCTGGAATCTGACTGTAATTCTCATCTGAAGCTTGAAGTGGACAGTCTCTGTTTTAACAAGATGTTTTGTTTGCTGGTGGGAAACAGAGCTTATGGAAGAAAATGAAATGTCACGCATAAATTGATCTGTTTAGATTAGATTTGATAACTTCGGTTGGGGGTATCACTTGCAGGGAGAGGTCTCTAAACTAAAACTCCACAGTACAAAATCACAAAGCGGATGAACAAGTTGGGCAAGGAAAGAAATAAATACTGGAGGCTATGCTGACCAAAAAACTAAATCTTAAATTTCACTACTCAGCCTTAATTGAGTCTTTAAAGTAACAACTTACTGTTTCAATAAATGACACATGATCATAATACAAAATTTAAAAGATATAACAGATATGATGTGAAAAGTCCCTTTCCTTCCCTCCCTAACCGTTTATCCAGCCTGACCATTATAGAGTATCCAGAAATCTTGATTTGGCCTAAATAAAGAGTGTTCTATGTGTTGGAAGAGGGTACTCTTTACATAGTGTGATCTGAGAAGTGCGGAAAGATCCAATGCATTGTAAAAATACATCTCCACTGGCTTGCTTCTACCTTCCCTTTCTACCTAGCAAGAAATTCTGCCAGTGAGAGGTAATCCTTTCTGCTAAACTAAGAGGAGGACATTACTTCCAGAACTACATAGGAAAAGCATAATTTTGCCTAAGGGCCTTTCTGTTCATCAACCTAATCATTATTTTCCCTTGTCTTTTTTTTTTGAGACGGAGTCTCGCTCTGTCGCCCAGGCTGGAGTGCAATGGTGCAATCTTGGTTCACTGCAACCTCCACCTCCACGGTTCAAGCAATTCTCGTGCCTCAGCCTCCCAAGTAGCTGGGATTACAGGTGCATGCCACCATGCTCAGCTAATTTTTGTATTTTTAGTAGAGATGGGGTTTTACCACGTTGGCCAGGATGGTCTTGAACTCCTGACCTCAGGTGATCCACCCGTCTCGGCCTCCCAAAATGCTAGGATTACAGGCATGAGCCCCCGTGCCCGGCCCCCTTGTCATTTTTGTTCTCTCTACTTTCTTCCTGAAAACATACGCCCATCTGGGGAGGCCCTAAGAGACCCTCACTAAGGCTTAACTGATTTCAGGATTTTATTTTATTTATTTATTTTATTTTGAGATGGAGTCTCATTCTTGTTGCCCAGGCTGGAGTGCAAAGGCGCGATCTCAGCTCACTGCAACCTCTGCCTCCTGGGTTCAAGCGATTCTCCTGCCTCAGCCTCTCAAATAGCTGGGATTACAGGCATGTGCCACCACACTCAGCCTTTTTGTTTTGATACGGAGTTTCCCTCTTGTTGCCCAGGCTAGAGTGCAATGGCATGATCTCAGCTCACCGCAACCTCTGCCTCCCAGGTTCAAGCGATTCTCCTGCCTCAGCTTCCCGAGTAGCTAGGATGACAGGCATGCGCCACCATGCCCGGCTGATTTTTGTATTTTTAGTACAGATGGGGTTTCTTCATGTTGGTCAGGCTGGTCCCGAACTCCCGAACTCAGGTGATCCATCTGCTTTGGCTTCCCAAAGCGCTGGGATTACAGGCGTGAGCCACCGCGCCCGGCCTAATTTTGTATTTTTAATAGAGACAGGGTTTCACTATGTTGGTCAGGCTGGTCTCAAACTCCTAACCTCAGGTGATCCACCTACCTGGGCGTGAGCCACTGTGCTCGGCCTGATTTCAGGATTTTAAATATAATACATTTCCCCACCAGCCCCACATTTTCCAGAAGAGCTAGCTTAACACAAACTAGATTTTGCTCATGGGTGAAATGTGAAGAATTTTTTTTTTTAGATGGAGTCTCACTCTGTCGCCCAGGCTGGAGTACAGTGGCACGATCACGGCTCACTGCCACCTCTGCCTCCCAGGTTCAAGCAATTCTCCTGCCTCAGCCTTCTGAGTAGCTGGGATTACAGGTGCACGCCACCATGCCTGACTAAGTTTTTGTATTTTAAGTAGAGACAGGGTTTCACCATGCTGGCCAGGCTAAGCCACCGCACCCAGCCACTAGTGTCCTATAAACATAATTTTTTGGCCAGGCGCGGTGGCTCATGCCTGTAATCCTAGCACTTTGGGAGGCCGAGGAGGGCGGATCACCTGAGGTCAGGAGTTTGAGACCAGCCTGACCAAGTTGGAGAAGCTCTGTCGCTACTAAAAATACAAAATTAGCCAGGTGTGGTGGCACATGCCTGTAATCCCAGGTATTCAGGAGGCTGAGGCAGGAGAATCGCTTTAACCCAGGAGATGGAGGTTGTGGTAAGCAGAGATTGCGCCACTGCACTCCAGCCTGGGCAACAAGACGAAACTCTGTCTCAAACAACAACAACAACTTTTAAAAAATGTTTACTTTTGGATGGGTAGTGACATTGTGGGTGACTTTTTCTGTCTTTTATCTAGAGCTGTATTAATGTTGCTATACTGTTCATGTAATTTTCTTTAATTATAAAGAGAAGAAAAACCATTCCTTAATAGAGTGGTTTGCAATAACAAACTCAATAGGGAACTCAGTAAAGACTGAGAAGAGGCATTTTAATGTGGCTATTCAGGAGTAGATAATGGCCCTTAATTATATTTCAATAGAGACTAAAACCAAATTATTTGTTATTTGACATTAAGAGGTGACGATAACTGCGCAGATAATTTGCTAGAGGAGTTTGCCAAAAAAGAGTAGAAATAGGACAGAATCATTAGAAAGCAGCAAAATTGAGTAAAGGTTTTGTTCAGTATTAGAAAGATAGACAAAGTAGGTGTGAGCTCTGCCTCCTTAGCTATTTCTGTTGTAAACCTAGAGAAGACCTGCTTAACAGTGGAGAATTGCTAACATCCTGAGAAAACCTCTTCACTTTCTGTTATTTCACTTTTTAAAAAACAAGTAGAGGCAAAGGGTCTTCCTAAATAATGTTCATAAGGGATCAGTGGCAGGGCATTGGGGAGGGGAGGAAGCTGCTTGATTATAAATTCTTTTTTTTTTTTTTTTTTCTGAGACAGAGTTTCACTCTTGTTGCCCAGGCTGGAGTGCAATGGCATAATCTTGGCTCACCGCAACCTCCACCTCCTCGGTTCAAGCAGTTCTCCTGCCTCAGCCTCCTGAGTAGCTGGGATTACAGGCATATGCCACCACACCCAGCTAATTTTTGTATTTTTAGTAGAGACAGTGTTTCACCATGTTGGCCAGGCTGGTCTCGATCTCCTGACCTCATGATCCGCCCGCCTCAGCCTCCCAAAGTGCCGGGATTACAGGCGTGAGCCACTGCACCCGGCTGATTATAAATTCTTTACATTTCACCCATGAGCAAAATTTAGTTTGTGTCAAGCTAGCTCTTCTGGAAAATGTGGGGCTTGTGGGGAAACATATCACATTTAAAATCCTGAAATCAGGCCAAGCATGGTGGCTCACACTTGTAATCCCAGCACTTTGGGAGGCCGAGGCCGGTGGATTACTTGAGGTCAGGAATTTGAGACCAGCCTGGCCAACATGGTGAAACCCTGTCTCAACATGGGAACACTTACCTGTAGTCTCAAGAGGCTGATGCAGGAGTATCCCTTGAGCCTAGGAGGCTGAGGCTACGAATGTGCCACTACACTCCAGCCTGGGCAACAGAGCAAGACCCTGTCTCAAAAAAAAAAAAGAGAAAAGAAAAGAAATGTAACACCATTGAGGTGAGATAATAAGAGATATTCTGCTACTTTTAAAACAATTAAAATTTAGGCTAGGTGTGGTGGCTCACGCCTATAATCCCAGTACTTTGGGAGACCAGGAGTTTCAGACCAGCCTGGGTAACATGGAGAGGCACCATCTCTACCAAAAAAAAAAGAAAAATAAAAAATAAGAAATAAATAAATTTTTAAAAAGTAAAATTTCTAGTCCCCAATACTAAAAGATACTGAAAGAAATTGCCAATGGTGTTGCAAACCGCAAATGGAAATACTATTGAAATTATTGACAGTGGGGAAAGGGTCAGAGGGTAAAATGTCTTTGATTTTTTAAGTATGAAAAAAGACTTCCTTTAAAGATAGAGATTGACCAAACCTGCTTAGCTTAAGTAGTTGCATATCTAGAGAGTAAGACTGTGGAATAGAGTAGGGTTTTGTTGTTGTTATAAATATTTGGTATTACCTTAAAATTACATCCATATAGGCTGGGTGTGGTGGCTCACGCCTGTAATCCTAGCATTTTGGGAGGCCGAGCTGGGTGGATCACCTGAGGTCAGGAATTTGAGACCAGCCTGACCAACATGGTGAAACCCCATCTCTACTAAAAATTTGAAAATTAGCTGGGCGTGGTGGCGGGACCTGAAATCACAGCTACTTGGGAGGCTGAGGCAGGAGAATCCCTTGAACCAAGAAGGTGGAGGTTGCAATGAGCCGGGATCGTGCCACTGTACTCCAGCCTGGACGGTGGCAAAAGCAAGACTCCATCTCAAAAAAAAAAAAAAAAAAAAAAAAAAAAAAATATATATATATATATATATATATATATATATATATATATATATATATATGTATACAATACAATAATCAAACTTTATTTTAAAAAATGTTCTCAGGCTGGGCACGGTGGCTCACACCTGTAATCCCAGCACTTTGGGAGGCCAAGGCGGATGGATCACGAGGTCAGGAGTTCGAGACCAGCCTGGCCAACATGGTGAAACCCCGTCTCTACTAATAATACAAAAACTTAGCCGGGCCTGGTGGCTGGCACCTGTAGACCCAGCTACTTGGGAGGCTGAGGCAGGAGAATTGCTTCAATCTGGGAGGTGGAGGTTGCAGTGAGCCAAGATCTTGACACTGCACTCCAGCCTGGGTGACAGAGTGAGACTCAGTGAGAGATTTTTTGTATTTTTAGTAGAGACACGGTGGAGGCTCCATCTCAAAAAAAAAAAAAAAAAAAAAAAAAAAAAAAGTTCCCCAGGTGGAAAAAAATTACATTCTGAAAACTAGTAGGAAAATTTTCAATGATCTCTAGAACATTTTGGCATGGATTATCAAAAGATGTTTTACGAGCATGTAAAGAAATTGACTCTAGGCACTAACAAGGGGCCGCTACGGGCAAGTTCTTTCATTCAGCAAATATTTGTTGCGCAAATTCTGAGTTATAGTTACTGTGCAAGACACAAGGGATGAAGCAGAAAACAAAACAGGCACATTCCTGCCCCTTGTGGAACTCTGGTGAGGAAGACAAATAATAAAACGTATGGTATAATTACAGCTTGTGATAAGTGCCAAAAAAGAAAACCCAGGGATTTATGTGAGCCCATAATTACAGGAACTAGCTTCACTGGGAGAGGAGGCAGTGCTAGAGAAATCCTCTGTGGGGACACAGTATTTAAACTGCTACCTGAGGGATGAATAGAATTTAGGTGGACAATGCGTGCAGAGTGCTACAGAGAAAATCTGAAAACACCATGCGAAAGAGTCATGAGGCAGGAATAAGCTTGCCATGCTAGAGGAACAGAGAAAAAGCTGAGGTGGCTGGAACAGTAAACAGGAGGGAGAGTGCAGATAAGCAGGGGCCACATCACACAGGCAGTAACTAATGCTATTTTCTTTTTTAAAATGATTACTGGACAGGTAGATGAAAGAAATAAAAACACACTGTTGGAGAGAAAACATCATTTCTTTTTTTACCCTTTTTAGGTTCTTAGTTGAGACACTTGAAAACAAGCGTCAGATTAACAAAAGAAAAACAAGTTTATTAACATGCTGTACCCATCAAGTGGGAGAGGCCTCAGTTCAAAAGTATTTCTCTCTCCAGGCAGTGGCTTAGGGACCTTGTTTAAATAGTATTTTAACAAAGAACCATGAATTTTTTTTTTTTTTTTTTTTGACAGAGTCTTGCTCTGTCGCCCAGGCTGGAGTGCAGTGGCATGATCTCGGCTCACTGCAACCTCGCCTCCTGGGTTCAAGCGATTATTGCGCCTCAGCCTCCCGAGTAGCTGGGGTTACAGGCGTGTGCCACCACGCCCGGCTGATTTTTGTATTTTTAGTAGAGACAGGGTAGTGCCATGTTGGACAGGCTGGTTTCGAGCTCCTGGCCTCAAGCAATCCACCTGCCTAGGCCTCCCAAAGTGCTGGGATTACAGGCGTGAGCCACCGTACTTGGCCAGAGCCATGAATCTTACGAAGTGCTGAAACAAAGAAGAGTATCTTTAGGCTTCCAAAAGGCAGGAAAATGTGGGAAGGTAAATTAATGGGAAGAGTAAAGTCTGCTCCTGGATCCTCTGGCACCGCTGAGCTGTTTCTGAGCGGATGAAGGCAGAGTTAGGAAGGGCAGTGTGCCCATGTGTTTTAAGCTTTTAAACTAAAATCCCCAGTATTTTAGCGAGAAATATTTTGGTTTCCTTCAACACACTAAATTTGTTTTCTGCAAGGTAACTGATAAAAATGGTTGGGATGAACCAGTTATCACTTTTTTTTTTTTTTTTTGAGATGGAGTCTCGCTCTGTCACCCAGGCTGGAGTGCAGTGGCGCTATCTAGGCTCACTGCAAGCTCTGCCTCCTGGTTCACACCATTCTCCTGCCTCAGCCTCCCGAGTAGGTGGGACTACAGGCGCCCGCCATCACGCCTGGCTAATTTTTTGTATTTTTAGTAGAGACGGGGTTTCACCATGTTAGCCAGGCTGGTCTCGAACTCCTGACCTCAGGTGATCCGCCTGCCTCGGCCTCCTAAAGTGCTGGGATTACAGGCGTGAGCCACCGCGCAGTTATCACTTCTACAACCAAATTATATCCCAAATCCATCCACTTCCCACTTTCTCCTCCCTAGATCAAATCACCACCATCTCCCCTGGGCTACTGCTACTGGTCTTGTTTTCACTTTTATTTCCCACAGTCCATCCTCTATACAGCAGCTAGAGTGATCTAAAATGTAAATCAGGCCATTTGAATTCTTTGCTTAAAAATCCTTCAATGGCAGCCGGGCGCGGTGGCTCACGCCTGTAATCCCAGCACTTTGGGAGGCCAAGGTGAGTGGATCACCTGAGGTCAGGAGTTCAAGACCAGCCTGATCAACATGGAGAAACCCTGTCTCTACTAAAAATACAAAATTAGCCGGGCATGGTGGCACATGCCTATTACTAGGCAGGCTACTAGGGAGGCTGAGGCAGGAGAATCACTTGAACCTGGGAGGCGGAGGTTGCGGTGAGCCAAGATTGAGATCATGCCATTGCACTCCAGCCTGAGCAACAAGAGTGAAACTCTGTCTCAAAAAAAAAAAAAAAAAAAATCCTTTTATGGCTTCCCATTTGTCACAGGTTAAGTTTGTCACAGATGCAGAGGTGGAGTTTGGGATTCAACATGTTATTAAGGTTTAACATCTGTGACAAGGAAGAAAGAGAAATCTGAGTTGGACTGAGGAAGAAATCAGTGATGCAGACCAAAAATAGCCTTGGCCAACCTATCAAGGAGCTCTGAAAAACGAGTATTATCCGTCAGAATTGTTAGGTTAAAATAGCTGGGGCTTTATAACCCTGCTCACTTAGTCTCTAGAAGCGATCTGCTCTAAGAAGGGTATATCCTTAAGCAGTGGGGCTCTCTGTGTCTGGGGCAGATTCTGAAAGGGCTGTTTGGTGACTACACTCTTTACATCTGGGCATCAAGTCCTTCCTTAAAGGAGGATATGGATGGTACATCTCTTGTCCATCTCACCACTGCATTTAGAATAAAAGGCCTTGCCAAGCACATTGTGTGAGTCTGTAGTCTCAGCTATTGGGAAGCTGAGGGGTGAGGATTGTTTGAGCTTCAGAGTTCCAGGCTGCAGTGTGCTATGATTGCTCCTGTGAATAGCCACTGTACCCTAGCCCAGGTGACACAGGGAGACCCCATCTCTAAAAAAGTAAGTGAGTAAATAAAAGAATTTCAAGACCTTACATAATCTAGTTTCTGTCTACCTTTCCTCTACTTGCCTTTGTTCACATTTTGCTCTAGGTACACTGCCCTCCTTGTTTTTTTAAGCCCATCCCTTCCTCAAGGACTTTGTGCTTGCTGTTCCCCTGCCTGGAATGGTATACTCCCAGTCTTCACATGGCTAGTGCCTTCAGAAGTTGTGTGCCTTTCTCCTCATTATTCTGTTTAGTGTTGCTCCATTTCACTTTCCTCATAAAATGACCTGAATTTTTATTTACATCTATCTCATCAACTAGAATGTAAATTTCGTGAGAGTCTCGGTGTGGTCTGTTTTTTCCACTTCTCTAACCCCACTCAGTACCTAGAACTCAGTAGACCTCCACAAATACTTATGGTTCTTTTGCTTTTTTTTTTTTTTTTTTTTTTGAGACAGAGTCTCGCTCTGTCGCCCAGGCTGGAATGCAGTGGTGTGATCTCGGCTCACTGCAAGCTCCGCCTCCCGGGTTCACGCCATTCTCCTGCCTCAGCCTCCCGAGTAGCTAGGACTACAGGTGCTCGCCACCATGCCCGGCTAATTTTTTGTATTTTTAGTAGAGACAGGGTTTCACCGTGTTAGCCAGGGTGGTCTCGATCTCCTGACCTCATGATCCGCCCACCTCGGCCTCCCAAAGTGCTGGGATTACAGGCGTGAGCCACCGCACCCAGCCTTTTTTTGCTTTTTTTTTTGAGATGGAGTCTTGCTCTGTCACCCAGGCTGGGGTGCAGTGGCATGATCTCAGCTTACTGCAACCTCCGCCTCCCATGTTCAAGCAATTTTCCTGCCTCACCCTCCCAAGTAGCTGGGATTACAGCCATGCACCACCACGACCGGCTAATTTTTTTTTTGTATTTTTAGTAGAGACAGGGTTTCACTATATTGGCCAGGCTGGTCTCAAACTCTTGAACTTGTGATCTGCCTGCCTCGGCCTCCCAAAATACTGGGATTACAGGCGTGAGCCACTGTGCCTGGCCTGTTTTTTGTTTTTTTTTTTAAAGATGCGATCTTGCTCTGTTGCCCAGGCTGGAATGTGGAGGTGTGACCATAGCTCACTGTAGCCTCAAACTCCTGGGCTCAAGTGATTCTCCTGCCACAGCCTCCCAAGTAGCTAAGACTACAGGCATGTACCACAACACCTGGCTAATTTTTAAAATTTTTTGTGGAGATGAGGTCTTACTAGGTTGTCCAGGCTGGTCTCAAACTCCTGGCTTCAAGTGAATCTCCTATCTCGGCCTCTGAAATGCAGAAAGGTACATTGAATGATACTACAGATAGCTACAGTTTTAGCTAACTAAATTTTGTCCAAATAATATTTATTAGTATTAAGGTTAACCTGAAGGGAGATCTCTAGTTGGCTGATACAAGTCTGTCTGGTCCTGTCAAACAGTTAAAAGTCAATGATTTGTATCAGAAATGTTGTGATCATCCAAATTTCTGATGACACAAAGCTGGGAGTATTGATGGCTAACATATTGGATGATGGGTTTCAGATTCAGAAGGACCTGAAAGTTCATCAACAACAGAATGGACATTGAATTGTGGTATATTATTCAAGCAATAAACTATCGTACAGCAATGAAAGTGAGTGAACTACTGCTATCAGAAACATGAAGAAACTTCACAAAGAAAATGTTGAAAGAAATAAACCAAACACACACAAAGGAGTATAGATTGCATGATGCCACATGTATGTATGTTTCCAATCCAGGCAAAACTATTCAGTGGTGTTAAAAGTCAGGACTGGTTCTCTATAGGAAGGAGGAAGGGGGCATGAGTTAGGCTTCTGAAGTGCTGGTAATAACTTTCTTGACCTATGTGGTAGTTATATAAATATGTTTGCTTTGCAAAAATTCATTGATCATTGATGTGTGCACTTAGGATTTGTGCACATTTTATATGTGTATTATGTTAATTAATTAATTATTTTTTTTAGATGGAGTTTTGCTCTTATTGCCCAGACTGGAGTGCCATGGTGTGATCTCAGCTCACTGCAACCTCCACCTCCCAGGTTCAAGTGATTCTTTTGCCTCAGCCTCCCAAGTAGCTGTGATTACAGGCATGTGCCACCACACTCGGCTAATTTCGTATTTTTAGTAGAGACGAGGTTTCACCATGTTGGCCAGGCTGGTCTCGAACTCCTGACCTCAGGTGATCTGCCCACCTGGGCCTCCCAAAGTGCTGGGATTACAGGTGTAAGCCACGGTGCCTGGCCTATTATATGTTAATTTTAAAGTTAAGAGTGAAATAGACTTGGGAGATTTATTTAACTAAAAACTCTTTTTTTTTTTTTTTTTGAGATGGAGTCTTGCTGTGTCGCCCAGGTTGGAGTGCAATGGCGCAATCTCAGCTCACTGCAAGCTCCGCCTCCCAGGTTCACGCCATTCTCCTGCCTCAGCCTCCCGAATAGCTGGTACTACAGGCACCCACCACCATGCCTGGCTAATTTTTTGTATTTTTAGTAGAGACAGGGTTTCACCGTGTTAGCCAGGATGGTCTCAATCTCCTGACCTCGTGATCCACCCGCCTCGGCCTCCCAAAGTGCTGGGATTACAGGTGTGAACCACCACCGCACCTGGCCTTAACTAAAAACTCCTGTGTAGTTCCTGATTTTGAATAAAAGAATTTTAACATTTTGCCAGTTAGTATCATAGTTGCTTTTCATTTGGGGTAAATAGTTTTTATTATGTTGAAGTAGTTTCTTTTGATTTTCTTTCACAGTTTTTGTTAGAATGGCTACTGAATACACTATAACACCTATTGCTGCAGGGATGGGGGCAAGGGGTATTTTCATGTGCTGCTACTGAAATATGAAGTGTTATAGCCTTTTTGGAAAGCAGTCTGGCAACAGCTATTATTTTAAATATACCCTTTGGCCAGGTGCGGTGGCTCACCCCTGTAATCTCAGCACTTTGGGAGGCCAAGGAGGGTGGATCACCTGAGGTCAGGAGTTTGAGACCAGCCTGGCCAACATGGTGAAACCCTGTCTCTACTAGAAATACAAAAATTAGCCGGGCGTGATAGCGCGTGCCTGTAATCCCAGCTACTCAGGAGGCTGAGGCAGGAGAATCACTTGAACCCGGGAGGCAGAGGTTGCAGTGAGCCAAGATTGTGCAACTGCACCCCAGCCTGGGCGATAGAGTGAGACTTGGTCTCAAAAAATAAAATAAAATAAAATAAAATAAAATAAAATAAAATAAAATAAAATAAAATAAAATAAAAAACAAATAAAAATATATATACCCTTTGACCCAGCAATTACAGTCCTGGGAATCTATCCTCTGAAAAAAACCATTAGTTTCAATAAAACTATTGGAGTAAAAACACTATAGGACGTATGTACAAGGACATTTGTTGCAGCATTTTAAGTGGCAACACACACACACAAATTGTGAATACTATGGATGTCCATCAATAGAGTGATGGTTGTAAAAATTATAGTACATTCACATTTTGGCACATCCATAAAGAGGAATGAATTTGTACTCTACCAGTTGACTTAGAGGGATTTTACACACAAAAATGTTTTGAGTAAAAGGCAAAAAAGTAGTCACTTTTTAAATGACAAAAAAAACTGCATTGAATATGTGTGCATTTGTATTTGTCTATATGTGATTATATGAGCATAGAGAAAAATATTAACAACTAGGTTGATAAATTGATTATGGGGGTGGAGGGGACAGGTGATGGGGTAGTAGATGAAGACGGGGGATGGTAGAGTCAAGGGAGAAAGAAAAAGTAAAATAAGAACCAGAGGATTTTTTGTAATCTCTGTATGAGCCGGTAATCTTGTATTACAGGTAAAAAATCAAATGCAGTCTTAGGGGCATTGATATATTATACTGTCACCAAATCAAAGGACATAATAATCCCAGTGTGCTTTATGCTGTTCACATCAAATCTAGCATATTCTATTAATTTCTGGACACCACACTAAAAACAAAACAAAACAAATAACGCCCTACTTGTTGCTGCCAAAATAAATAAATTGTTTTTCTTATAAGAGGAATGGTCAGCCAGGCACGGTGGCTCACACCTTAGGAAGCTGGCTCCAACACTTTGGGAGGCTGGCCAGGCACGGTGGCTCCAACAATTTGGGAGGCTGAAGTGGGAGGATCCTTTGAGCCCAGGAGTTTGATAGCAGCTTGGGCAACATAGGGAGACCCTATCTCTAACAGAGAAAAAAAGAATTAGCTGGGTATGGTGGCTCATGCCTGTGGTCCCATCTGCTTGGGAAGCTGAAGTGGGAGGACTACTTGAGCCCAGGAAATCTAGGCTGCAGTGAGCAGTGATCACACCACTGCACTCCAGCCTGGGTGACGAAGTGAGACCTTGTCTCAAAGAAAAAAAAAAAAGAGGAATACTTAAAAATCAGGCAAACCTGGGTTCCAATATCATATCAGCCACTTACTTAGCTGTGCGGCCTTGGGAAAATTACTTAATCCCTCTATGCCCCAGTTTCCTCATCTGTACAATGGGGATAATTACAGTGCTTATCCCTCAGGGTTATTGTAGAGTAATTAAAACAAACCATCTATTTGTTTCCTTTTTTAAAAGGAAGTGGCATCTAGAATAAGCTCAATAAAAATGTTCTTCTTCTTCTTATTATTATTATTATTTTGAGATGGAGTCTCGCTCTGTTGCCCAGGCTGGAGTGTAGTGGCATGATCTCGGCTCACTGCAACTTCTGCCTCCAGGGTTTAAGAGATTCTCCTGCCTCAGCCTCCCGAGTAGCTGGGACTACAGGCACCCACCACCACGCTTGGCTAATTTTCATATTTTTAGTAGAAACAGGGTTTTGCCTTGTTGGCCAGGCTGGTCTCAAACCCCTGGCCTGGTGATCCTCCCGCCTCGGCTTCCCAAAGTGCTGGGATTACAGGCGTGAGCCACCATGCCCGGCCAAATGTTTGCACTATTAAATATTTATTGTGAAACTTAGAATTTACATATAAACAAGAAAGTAAAAACATAACCATAATCTTACCTTCCAGAGTTAAACATTAACTTTTGGATGTTCATGCGTTTCCCAATGTGATCTGAAAAATCATTATGAGACCTGGTGACAGCTTAATTGGCACAAATTAGCAGCTACCAGTGTGTGAAGGGTTGTCATATGGAAGAGAGGTAGACATATTCTGTGAGGCTCCAGAGAACCACAGGAAGAAGCAAGGGTTATGATGAGAGCTGTCCAGCAATAGATTGAGCTGCCCAACACCATATGGAGCTCCTTGTTATAACAACTGAGTTTTTGGCTTGCAACCATTTGACAAAAAAAGTTATGGAAAAGACGTCAAGTTGAATGACCTCTAAAACTCTTCCTAACTCTAACTTTTTTTTTTTTTTTAGACAGAATCTTGCCCTATCACCCAGGCTGTAGTGCCGTGGTATAATCTTGGCTCGCCGCAACCTCCGCCTCCTGGGTTCAAGCCATTCTCCTGCTTCAGCCTCCTGAGTAGCTGTGACTACAGGCGTGCACCACCACACCTGGCTAATTTTTGTATTTTTAGTAGAGACGGGGTTTCACCATATTGGCCAGGCTGGTCTTGAACTCCTGACCTCAAGTGATTCACCCGCCTGGGCCTTCCAAAGTGCTGGGATTACAGGCATGAGCCACTGTGCCCGACCATAACTCTAACATTTTATCATCAAGAAATGCTTGCTATATGTATACATACATTAGATTCACAGCCTGCATAAGAGTTTGTGTGATTTCTTACTTAGTAAATACTGAGTGGTAAGGACAATTCCAAATTCATCCCATGAAAGTTAATAGGGAATTCCTAGCAGGTCATAGGTCAGATAGAAAATCTGTCCTTCATGAAACGCTGAGGACGTGCAATTCCAATTAAACCCACTCAATCTGGAGAAAGAAATCAAAGGGAGGGGGTGGGCCTGGAAAGAGTACATCTTATCTTCAGGTACTGTTTGTTTGATTTTTTTTAATACTTGGGGTTTGTTTCTGGGAAGAATTCTTGACCTGGCAAAAATTCATAGTAATTACTCAGGGGAAAGGAAAAAGAAGAAACAAACAAACAAAAAATACATTAATGTGGTTGGAAAAAAAATCTAAGAACATGGTGTTGGTGGGAGAGAAGACTAAATGTTTGTGGAAGACCCACCCAAGTGCTTTTGATGTTTGACCAGTTATTATCTTATTGTTCTTCCTGCTATAGATACAGCTGCAATTTATGTAACAGGATGTTTAAAAAGATTAAAGAGAATCTGTAGTAGGGTTCTGAGATGATAAGAGTCCCTAGAATATGCATTTATGGACGTTTAGAATATAAGTTCCTGTACATTCTTAGAATAAACCATCTATTTGTTTCCTTTTTTAAAAAAGAAACAAACAAAATTTGTATTTCAGTATGGCTGCTTCCTTCCAGCAAGTGATATGGAATAACAGGCAAAGACAGCAAACCAATAACAGAGCAAAGACAAGTTGGTGCTGGTTCAAACTGTGGCCCATGCCGGTTCTTAATTAGCTTTGAGCTTTGAGTCTAAAATGTTTTAACTCTACATTATACACGTGTTTGGAATTTATTTGGATTCAACCTGTTCATCAGAAAATGGGTTATTCTATGATACAAGCAGGATCATTGTGTGAAATTTATGACTGCAATCACCCAACGTGAAGATGAAAGTTTAAACATTTTTTTGCTAGAGGAGTTTTCAAAAAAAAAAAAAAAAAGTGTTCTATAGATGTCCCAAACATACAGAGTGACTTACTGGCGTTTAAGTCTTTCTGCCATGTGGAGTGCTATCTTAAGTGATAAATTGGCACTGGGCACTTGATAAAAGGTCATTGGGCATATTCTCCAAGTTTCTGGTGTTAGTCATGAATTAATTGCTTGTTAACTTTAATTCTCCTAGCAACCTAGGCTAATACCTACTGCACACTTGCTCTCTCTCTCTCACTGTATTTCTGTGCATGTGTATGTGCATAATTTTTTTCTGAACTTGTTTCTGTTTGATAATAACTTACAGACATGATGCCCCTTTCCATTAAGCACTTCAGTGGATATTTTCTTTTCTTTGTTTTTTTTTTTTTTTTTGAGACAGAGTTTTGCTCTGTCACCCAGGCTGGAGTGCAGTGGCGTGATCTCAACTCACTGCAACCTCTGCCTCCTGGATTCCAGCTATTCTCCTGCCTCAGCCTCCAGGTAGCTGGGACTACATGCATATGCCACCATGCCCAGCTAATTTTGTATTTTTAGTAGAGACAGGGTTTCACCATGTTGGCCAGGCTGGTCTCAAACTCCTGACCTCGTGATCTGCCCGCCTCGGCCTCCCAAAGTGCTGGGATTACAGGAGTGAGCCACCACGCCCCGCCAGTGTATATTTTCTAAAAACAAGGATATTCTCTTTCATAACCACAATTATAAAAATTAAGAAATCAATATTGATTCAATAATATTTTCTAACCTACAGACCTCATTTGAATTTGCTCAAATGTTCCAATAATGTCCATTATGGTAAAATAAATTCTATATCATACATTGTGTTCAGTTGTCAAGTGTCTTTAGTCTCCTTCAATCTGGAATAGAATTTTCCACACTTCGTCTTTCACAACCTTGACATATTTGAGGAGTTACAGGCCAGTTGTTTTATAGAGTGTCCCCTAACTTGGGTTGTCTGATGTTTCTTCACGATTACATTCAGGTTATGCATTCTTAGCAGGAATAGCACAGAAGTGATGTTGTGACCCCTACATAATATTAGTTGACTTGTTCCATTACTGTTGAAGTTAACTTTGATTACTTGGTTAAGGGGATGTCTACCAGGTTTCTTCACTTTAAAAGGACTATTTTTCCTTTTTTTTTTTTTTTTCTGAGACAGAGTCTTGCTCTGTCACCCAGGCAGGAGTGCAGTGGCACGATCTCAGCTCACTGCAACCTCTGCCTCCCGGGTTCAAGCAATTCTCCCACCTCAGCCTCCCAGGTAGCTGGGATTACAGGCGCCCACCATCACACCAGCTAATTTTTTTTGTATTTTTAGTAGAGATGGGGGTTTCACCATGTTGGCCAGGCTGGTCTTGAACTCCTGACCTCGTGATCTGCCTACTTCAGCCTCTCAAAGTGCTGGGATTACAGGCATGAGCCACTGCACCTGGCCTTTACTTTTCCCTTAATAGTTAACAAATATCTTGTGAGGAGATACTCTGAGACTATGTAAATATCCTCTTCCTCTGGCCGGGCGCCATGGCTCATGCCTGTAATCCCAGCACTTTCGAAGGCCGAGGAGGGTGGATCACCTGAGGTCAGGAGTTCGAGACCAGCCTGGCCAACATGGTGAAACACCGTCTCTACTAAAAATACAAAAAAATTAGCTGGGCATGGTGGCAGGCACCTGTAATCCCAGAATCCCAGCTACTCGGGAGCCTGAGGCAGGAGAATCACTTGAACCAGGGAGGCGGAGGTTGCAGTGGCCAAGATCGCGCTGCTGCACTCCAGCTTGGCAACAGAGCGAGACTCCGTCTTAAAAAAAAAAAAAAGGCCAGGCACGGTGGCTGATGCCTGTAATCCCAGCACTTTGGGAGGCTGAGGCGGGTGGATCACCTGAGATCAGGAGTTTGAGACCAGCCTGGCCAACATGGTGAAACCAGTCTCTACTAAAAATACAAAAATTAGCCTGGCGTGGTTGCAGGCGCCTGTAATCCCAGCTACTTGGGAGGCTGAGGCAGGAGAATTGCTTGAACTCTGGAAGCGGAGGTTGCAAGGAGCCAAGATTGTGGCATTGCACTCCAGCCTGGGTTACAAGAGCAAAACTCTTGTCTCAAAAAAAAAAAAAAAAAAAAAAAAAAAGCCCTGGTTCCTTTAGGGAGAATTGTATTTAGAACAATCTGGGTTCTAGGTGTACTAATTTGTACTGGAGTATCATGGCTTGTAGGCCCTTTCAGAGGACAGACTATCACACTAATACACAAATGCACACATATGCGCGCGCGCACACACACACACACACACACACAAATTTATAAAACTATGTGCTCCCATTGATATTTCCAATTCTGATCCAGCACTGCAGAGTTCATTCTAGCCATCCCCCTTTCCATATTTGTTTATTTATTTATTTTGAGACGGAGTTTCACTCTTTTCGCCCCGGCTGAAGTGCTATATAGCACAATCTCGGCTCACTGCAACCTCCACCTCCTGGGTTCAAGTGATTCTCCTGCCTCAGCCTCCCGAGTAGTTGGGATTACAGGCGCCTGCCACCACGCCCAGCTAAGTTTTTGTATTTGTAGTGGAGAGGGGGTTTCGCCATGTTTCACCATGTTGTCCAGGCTGGTCTCGAACTCCCAACCTCAGGCGATCCGCCTACCTTGGCCTCCCAAAGTGCTGGGATTACAGGTGTGAGCCACTGCGCCCGGCCTCTGTGGAACCACTCTTAACTACTACACCCAAGCACCCATAAATGTTCCTTCTTGCCAGGCACAGTGGCTCACACCTGTAATCCCAACACTTTCAGAGGCCGAGATGGGTGGATCACCTGAGGTTGGGAGTTTGAGACCAGCCTGGCAAACATGGTGAAACCCTACCTCTACTAGGTGGCAGGTGCCTGTAGTCCCAGCTACTCGGGAAGCTGAGGCAGAAGAATGGCTTGAAGTCGGGAGGTGGGGTTGCAGTGAGCCGAAATTGCACCACTGCACTCCAGCCTGGGCAACAGAGTGAGACTCCATTTCAAAAAAATAAAAATAAAAATAAAAGCAGAAGGAGAAAATGGAAACATGTTTATGTATTATAGGGCATTAGGAAAATATCTATTTTCCTGCTTACAGGTTTAGATTCAGGGATCTTAAACTCCAATTATTTCAGAGGACAGGCTATACTATACATGGGTGAAGCAATTAGATATAATAGGGAGGAGTAGAGACTGTGGGGGGTGGGGAATGGAAATTGCATGCCTCTTTTTTTTTTTTTTTTTTTAAGATGGAGTCTTGCTCTTGTCGCCCAGGCTTCAGTGCAATGGCGTGATCTAGGCTCACTGCAACCTCCGCCTCCTGGGTTCAAGCAATTCTCCTGCCTCAGCCTCCCAAGTAGCTGGGATTACAGGTGCCCGCCACCATGGCCAGCTAATTTTTGTATTTTTAGTAGAGATGGGGTTTCACCATGTTGGCCAGGCTGGTCTCCAACTCCTGACCTCAGGTGATCCACCCACCTCGGCCTCCCAAAGTGCTGGGATTACAGTCGTGAGTGCTGCACCCATCCGAAATTGCATGCCTCTTCTAAAGACATTAAAAATAATTTTAAGGGCTGGGCTTGGTGGCTCATGCCTGTAATCCCAGCATTTTGGGAGGCCGAGGTGGGTGGATCACCTGAGGTCAGGAGTTCGAGAACAGCCTGACCAACATGGAGAAACCCCGTCTGCACTAAAAATACAAAATTAGCCAGGCATGGTGCCACATGCCTGTAATCCCAGCTACTCGGGAGGCTGAGGCAGGAGAATTGCTTGAACCCAGGAGGCAGAGGTTGTTGTGAGCCAAGATCGCGCCATTGCACTCCAGTCTTGGCAACAAGAGCAAAACGCTGTCTCAAAAAAAAAAAAAAAAAAAAAAAATTTAAAACAGCAACAACAACAACACACGGTGCTAATCAAAGATGTCTGTGGGCTGAATTCACTTCAAAGGCAGCTCCCATTTGTGAACTTTAGCTTAGATTTTACAATTGTCTTTGTGAATTAACATTTGCCCTTGAAAGGTGTGTTTGCATGTGTGGATCTAGGTCAGTGTGTTCCAACAGTTACTGGCTGGACAATTTTAAGGATAAAGAAGCATATTTGTCACTCACAGTGGTGAGGAAACAAACACTTGGAGGGCCCATGTACCCACCTGGGCTCTTCTGTGGCCTGGAATACCAAAAGCTATGACAAGTTTGCGAGAGTTGTCTGAAGCATTTGGAGGTTTTTTTGACCAAATAACTCAGACTTGGAGAATGAACCACTGGGAGAGGCAAGAGAGAGTTCCCAGGATGAGACCAACTCTGTGAGTAATGACTGGAGGTTCCCAAAGGTAGGTGGATGACCACACAGGAGAAGTTAGGAAATGGCAGGACTGTCAGACCTGTGGGTAGGGTAAAAAGATTATAAATTAGGTTTTCTACAAGGCAACCCCCTGGGAAGGAAGTAATATCTTGATAGCTTTCCTGGGACAATCAGAAAGGTCATTTAGCAAGACCATCACTGATACTCTAAAACTTGGATGTACAAAAAATCCATAACTTGATCCATTAGTATGACTAATCTCATTTTGTTTCCCAACACCTGACTTCCTTTTATGGTGGTAGTTGCAGGGCAAGGGACTCATTTTGCTCGCCTCCCTTGTAGAGCCTTTGTGGTAAAAGTTCATTAAGCTAAAACCATAGTGACATGAGAAATTTGAGAGTGGAACACAGACTTTATTCTTAAAGCAGTGAGTCTGTGTGGCCATGAGTCTAGGTTCCTAATGAATGAGATTAAGTGAAAGTATTGATGGGACTTCTAGGAAGACAGCTTAAATAGAGCTCCTACCTATCAAATGCACTATAATTGTGCAACCAGAGCAGACTGTGTTATGTTTAATTTTTCCCTCTTCCTAAAATATTATTTCCTTAAGTTACTTCAACGATTCACTAAGTCTAATAGACTTATACTATCTTATGTGGTGAAGGTGTGGAGAATGAGGGGATAAAGAATTAAAGAAAAATGTGCCTTGCCTCACATTTACTCTTTTGCTACACCCATCACAGGGAATAATATCCTACAAAAGAAAGTGTGTCCAGGAGTTTGGGGCAGTGATCTGCAATTAAGTGAGTGGGGACCCATGATGGAGCAGATGGTTGGGGGAGAGCATATGATGCTCCTGGGAACAGCATGCAGTTTCCAAGTACTAGGGTGATAACTCTGAAGGGACATAAACCAATAACCCTCCACCTCTCCACCTACACTAGAGTAAGGAGAGAGGCTAATTCTAGCAGTAGTCATGCTAAGTGGTATTCTTTTTTTTTTTTTTGAGACAAAGTCTCACTCTCTCGACCAGGCTGGAGTGCAGTGGCACGATCTCAGCTCACTGCAACCTCCACCTCCCAGGTTCAAGTGATTCTCCTGCCTCAGCCTCCCGAGTAGCTGCGATTACAGGCATGCGCCACAACGCCTGGCTAATTCTTGTATTTTTAGTAGAAATGGGGTTTCACCATGTTGCCCAGGCTGGTCTGGAACTCCTGACCTCGTGATCCGCCCGCCTCGGCCTTCCAAAGTGTTGAGATTACAGGCATGCCCAGCCCCCTATTCTTTTAGTGTGCATTAAAACCACATAGGGGATATGACTGTTACTACGTTGGTAAAATATTATAAGGGGGCCGGGCGCGGTGGCTCACACCTGTAATCCCAGCACTTTGGGAGGCCGAGACGGGCGGATCATGAGGTCAGGAGAACAAGACCATCCTGGCTAACACAGTGTAACCCTGTCTCTACTAAAAATACGAAAAATTAGCCGGATATGGTGGCTGGCGCCTGTAGTCCCAGCTACTCGGGAGGCTGAGGCAGGAGAATGGCCTGAACCCGGGAGGCGGAGCTTGCAGTGAGCTGAGATCGCCAATGCACTCCAGCTTGGGCGACAGAGCGAGACTCCGTCTCAAAAAATAATAATAATAATAATAATAAATAATTTCAAAATCTTATAAGAGGATGGAAGATGACTATTTGCTTTTCAACAGCCTTTTCTTAGCTTACAACAGCTTTGTTTATCATTATTATTATTTTTTTTTGAGATGGAGTCTTGCTCTGTCACCCAAGCTGGAGTGCAGAGGCAGGATGTCAGCTCACTACAACCTCTGCCTCCGGGGTTCAAGCCGTTCTCCTGCCTCAGCCTCCCAAGTAGCTGGGATTACAGGCGCATGACACCACACCCAGCTGATTTTTGTATTTTTAGTAGAGACTGGGTTTCACCATGTTGGCCAGGCTGGTCTCGAACTCCTGACCTCAGGTGATCCACCCTCCTCGGCCTCCCAAAGTGCTGAGATTACAGGTGTGAGCCTTCACACCCAGCCATGCTTATCATTACTCTTAATAGAGCTTATGAGACTATAACTAAAATAATCATAGTTTCCAACTGAAAAATTTTTGAACTTCATGATCTGTGGAATAAAGGACTTATGAGATAAAATATGAAATCTGGACCTTTCCAGATAATTTAGGACATATCATTGCCCCAACCAAAACACATAGGCAAACTCATGGGCATGTATTAATAATTACCTTTATGCTCTTGAAATTGTAATTGTGACCTCCCTTAATTTAGAGGCTCATTAAGGAAGGATTAAGTTTATGTTGCTATCTCTTGAGTAAAGTTTCAAAAGTAAGGTTTAAATCAGGGAATGGGTCAGAATAGCTATATTCTCTTTTTCAGTTCTGGGTGGTTTCTCTTTTTTTTTTTTTTTCTTTTTTTGAGACGGAGTCTCGCTGTCGCCCAGGCTGGAGTGCAGTGGCGTGATCTCAGCTCAGCTCATTGCAACCTCCACCTCTGGGTTCAAGCGATTCTCATGCCTCAGCCTCCCAAATAGCTGGGATTACAGGCACGTGCCACCACACCCAGCTAATTTTTTTGTATTTTTAGTAGAGATGGGGTTTCACTGTGTTAGCCAGGATAGTCTCGATCTCCTGACCTCGTGATCTGCCTGCCTCGGCCTCCCAAAGTGCTGGGATTACAGGCATGAACAACTGCGCCTGGCTTCTGGTGGTTTTTATAGCAATCTGTAGCAAGATAGATACAGAGCTATGGGAGTGGAAAAATTCCTCTTACTTTTTTCCTTTTGCTTTTTATTTTTATTTATTTTTTATTTTATTTTTTTGAGACAGAGCTTCACTCTTGTTGCCCAGGCTGGAGTGCAACGGCACGATATCAACTCACTGCAACCTCCGCCTCCTGGGTTCAAGTGATTCTCCTGCCTCAGCTTCCCGAGTAGCTGGGATTACAGGTGTGCGCCACCACGCCTGGCTAATTTTTTGTATTTTCAGTAGCGATGGGTTTCGCCATGTTGGTCAGGCTGGTCTCAAATTCCTGACCATATGTGATCCACCCGCCTCTGCCTTCCAAAGTACTGGGAATACAGGTGTGAGCCACCGCACCCAGCCTTCTTTTTTGTTGTTGTTTTTTTGAGAGGGAGTCTCACTCTCACCCAGGCTGGAGTGCAATGGCGTGGTCTCAGCTCGCTGTAACCTCCACCTCCCGGGTTCAAGTGATTCTCCCGCCTCAGCCTCCCAAGTCGCTGGGACTACAAGCACATGCCACCACACCCGGCTAATTTTTGTATTTTAGTAGAGATGGGGTTTCACTATGTTGGCCAGGCTGGTCTCCAACTCCTGACCTCGTGATCTGCCTGCCTCGGCCTCCCAAAGTGCTGGGATTACAGGCATGAGCCACTGCACCCAGCTTCCTTTTGCTTTGTAATCATTATAGATGATTTGGGAGGTTATTTGCCAAGTGAAGACCAGCCCTCCTGAAATTTCTTCCCAGTTTTCCTAGACCTAGTAGATGCCCAACTGCTTAACATATTCTCTTCGGTTGGTTCTCCTCATATCAAATATCAACTTGCAAAATATTCTGAGAAGTGAGACAAGCAGTGTCCACGTTCTCCCATGAAGGAAGCTAGCAAAAATAAACTAAGGCCCCCTGCTTTAAGGGTAAAGGTCATATTCCACTCTCCAATGTTTCTATTATTTCAGCCTAGTGAACTTTCACCCACAAAAGACTTTCTTTGAACAGTGTGATCAAAAACAAAAACAAGGTCTTTAATTCTTTTTTTTTTTTTTAGATTGTTTACTTACAGCTAAACCTTTAGACAGGAGGCCAACTCTCAGTGGTCACTTTCAAATAGGTTTACTTTGGACTGGCGAGATTTTTAAAAAATTCTCAGCTTTCAAATAGACACGTGAATGATGCCAGTATTCTTGACTTTATCTGTTTTTCTGAAGCATTTACTCTCTCTAAGGGGACACCTTAGGGGAGTACTATGGATTTAAGAGAATGACTTTAATGGGGACTCTGTCCCAAAAAAAAGTCCGGGTGCAGTGGCTCTCGCCTATACTCTCTGCACTTTGGGAGGCTGAGCAGGCAGATCGCCTGAGGTCAGAGGTCAGAAGTTTGAGACCAGCATGACCAACATGGAGAAACCCCCCCGTCTCTACTAAAAATACAAAATTAGCCGGGCGTGATGGCGCATGCCTGTAATCCCAGCTACTCAGGAGGCTGAGGCAGGAGAATCGCTTGAACCCAGGAGGCGGAGGTAGCGCTGAGCCGAGATCTCGCCATTGCACTCCAGCCTGGGCAACAAGAGCGAAACTCCATCTCAAAAAACAAACAAAAAAGGCAAATCTATTTTTTATATTCTTTGATAAACAGCATAGGGAACTATACTTAACGTGTCTCAGGACATTTTAAATCTAGTATGTATACATTTGTTGGCATTTGAAGAGTAAGCTTCAAATATCTACAAATTTCACTCACATGGGAGAGAAAAGTTAATGCCTTCATTTATTCATATGTTGGTTCAAAGAAGGTTTGACAGGTTGGGTGTGGTGGCTCACGTCTGTAATCCCAGCACTTTGGGAGGCTGAGATGGGCGGATCACGAGGTCAGGAGATCCAGACCATCCTGGCTAGCACAGTGAAACCCCGTCCCTACTAAAAATACAAAACTTAGTTGGGCATGATAGCATGCCTGTAATCCCAGCTACTCCAGGGGCTGAGGCAGGAGAATCACTTGAACCTGGGAGGCAGAGACTGCAGTGAGCGGAGATTATGCCACTGCACTGCCGCCTGGGCAACAGAGCAAGACTCTGTCTCAAAAACAAACAAACAAACAAACAAAAAACAAAGAAGGTTTGACTCTCTGCATATCTTTTATGTTTGTCTCAATCATGTCTTAATGGACCCATTTTATTTAAAATTCCCTCAGCTCAGAGGTAATCAACTCTTTTCAGTTTGCTGGGACATTCCCAATGCTAAAACTGGAATAAGTCCCACACACCAGGAAATCCCTCTGTCCAAGAGTCAAAACTGCAGCTATTTAGCCCAGACAATTAATCCCAACACTTTGGGAGGCCAAGGCGGGTGGATTACGAGGTCAGGAGTTCAAGACCAGCCTGGCCAAGATGGTGAAACCCCGTCTCTACTAAAAACACAAAAATTAGCTGGGCGTGGTGGCGGGTGCCTGTACTCCCAGCTACTCAGGAGGCTGAGGCAGAGAATTGCTTGAACCCAGGAGGCGGAGGTTGCAGTGAGCAGAGATCGTGCCACTGCACTCCAGCCTGGGCGACAGAGCGAGACTCCATCTCAAAAAAAAAAAAGAAATCTATCATGTCCCCCAATTTAAAGAAACTTAAAAAAAAATGTAGACACAAGGTCTTGCTATGTTGCTCAGGCTGGTTTCAAGGGATCCTCCTACCTTGGCCTCCCAAAGTACTAGGATTAACAGTATAAAGCCACAGTGCCCTGCCAATGCCATCCCTACCAGCAGTATTTTTTTTCTTTTTAATCTTCAAACAACACGTCTTCTCCCTATTTAACATTTCTCATATTCTTTTATAATTGTGATTACTCTCTTCTGAATACATTTTTATTTGACCGTATTCCTCTTAAATTGTAGTTTCTAGAAATAACCAGCAGAGTAGAGTGGATGCGTCCCCTCCTTTGTTCTAGAGTCTATGCTTCCTTTAATTCAGCCTAATATCTTAATATTTTTCTTGGAAGTCATTAACATCGATTAAGTTCTCATCTACTAAAACTTAGAAGCATTTTTCTCATGTACTTCTGTTAGGCTATATTCCTTATCTTGTACTAGTGCAGTTATTTTTTCTTAGTTTGAAGTGCAGGATCTTACATTTAACTTTGTTAAACTTAGTTTTCAAACTCTCTCTGTTTTTTTAAAATCACTTATTCCCAACTTTGATTCCTAGGTTTGATGAACACACTTTCTAGGACTTCATTCATGTCAATTGCAGAATTATTAAAAGGACAAAGCCTTCTTTGGAAACTTTTCTTTATGTTTATATTAATCCATTAATTAATTTTTACTTACAACAATTTAATGCATTTCTGGTTAACCTAATTTACTTAAAAACTCATATTTCTTTACTTCATCTAATACAAGGCTAATGTGATGGGAAAGTAAAGTTGGCAACAATAGATACCGCTTTGTGATGATAAAGTATTTTGCTACTTCCATCAAAACCATAGACTTGCTTTCTAAGCCACATGTTTTTCCACCAAAGATGGTATTTCCTATTGCTATGATTTGAATGTGTCTCCCAAATTTTATGTATTCCAAACTTTAATCCCCAATGCATATGTTGATTAGAAGTGGGGCCTTTGGGATGTAATCAGGATTAGATAATAGGTTAGGTCATCAGGGTGGGGCCTCCATGATGTGACTGGTGGGTGGCTTTAAAAGAAGATGAAGAGGGCCAGGCGTGGCGGCTAACGCCTGTAATCTCAGCACTTTGGGAGGCAAGGCAGGTGGATTATAAAGTCAGGAGTTCCAGGCCGGGCGCGGTGGCTCACACCTGTAATCCCAGCACTTTGGGAGGCCAAGGCGGGCAGATCACGAGGTCAGGAGATCCATCCTGGTTAACACTGTGAAACCCCGTCTCTACTAAAAAATACAAAAAAATTAGCCAGGCGTGGTGGCGGGTGCCTGTGGTCCCAGCTACTCGGGAGGCTGAGGCAGGAAAATGGTGTGAACCTGGGAGGCGGAGTTTGCAGTGAGCTGAGATCGCACCACTGCACTCCAGCCTGGGCGACAGAGCAAGGCTCTGTCTCAAAAAAAAAAAAAAAAAAAAAAAAAAAAGAAAAAAAAAAGTTCAGGAGTTCCAGACCAGCCTGGCCAATATGGTGAAACCCCATCTCTACTAAAAATACCAAAAAATGGCCGGGCACAGTGGCTCAAGCCTGTAATCCCAGCACTTTGGGAGGCCGAGGCGGGCGGATCACCTGAGGTCGAGAGTTTGGGACTAGCCTGACCAACATATAGAAACCCCGTCTCTACTAAAAATACACAATTAGCCAGGCACTGTGGTGCATGCCTGTAATCCCAGCTACTCGGGAGGCTGAGGCAGGAGAATCGCTTGAACCCAGGAGGCAGAGGTTGCAGTGAGCTGAGATCGCGCCACTGCACTCCAGGCTGGCGACAGAGCGAGACTCTGTCTCAAAAAAAAAAAAAAAAAAAAAAAGAAGCCGGGCGTGGTGGTGCATGCCTGTAATCCCAGCTACTCGGGAAGCTGAGGCAGGAGAATTGCTTGAACCCAGGAGGTGGAGGTTGCAATGAGCTGAGATCGCGCCACTGCACTCCAGCCTGGGCGACAGAGTGAGACACTGTCTCGGAAAGATTAAAAAAAAAAAAAAAAAAAAGAGGAAGAGAGGCCTGAGCTGACATGCATGCTCTTGCCCTCTCACCATGTGATTGATGCCCTCCGCCATGCTATGATGCCGAGATGCCTCACTGAATGTTGGCACCATGCTCTTGGATTGCTCAGCCTCCAGACTGTAAAAAATAAACCTCTGTCCTTCATGAATTCTCAAGTCTCAGATATTCAGTTACAGCAACAAAAAAATGGACTAAAATATCTATTGTGATTTTCCAACTTATTTACTGTGTTTGTCACTAAGCAACTTTTGGTAATTAAGAAGATCAAATCTTAAAGAACAAAAATTTGCCCTTGTTAAGGATGTTCAAAAAATATATCAAGGATTTCTCAGGTAATTCCAAAAGAAGAGCTTCAAGTAAACTTAAGAATAAATATATATTCTTCCAAATCTATTCCTTTAAAAGGCACAAAACACTTTGGAACTGCAAGTTTTGCTGTATTTGTTAAACCATCAGAGACAGTTTAGCCCATTAGTCAAATACATAAGCTTTGGCCTGGTTCAACTCCTGGTTCTACCACTTGCCAAGTGTTTGACTTTGGGCAAGTTTATCAGTGCTTAGCACAATACCTAACATCTAGTGAGAGCTATAAAAAAGGAGTGTGATATTGTAATACATATATTTGGTTTTCAACCCCATTTCTTGACCTACAACTTCTAAAAAAGCCTTACAGTTTCCAAAGTGATGGGTTTTGTATGCTAGTGAGATGACTGATGGTGAGGGGCTGGTCACCAGAAAGACCAAGGCATAATTAGAGGGGTGGGACTTTTAGCCCCAGCCCCCAGCTTCCAGGGAGGGAAGAGGGGCTGAAAGTTAAGTTGCTCACCAATGGCCAAAGGTGTAATCAATCGTGCTTGCATAATGGAGTTTCCATAAAACCCCCAAAGAACTGAGTTTGGAGAACTTCTAGATAGCTGAACACATGAAGGTTCCCAGAGGGTGGCAAGCCTGGGGAGGGCATGCAAGTTCTGTGTCCTTTCCTGTACCTCGTCCTATGCATCTCTTCATCTCTTCATCTGTATCCTTTATAATATACTTTTTTTTTTTTTATAGACAAGAGTCTCACTGTGTCGCCCAGGCTGAAGTACAGTGGCACAATCTCAGCTCACTGCAACCTCTGCCTCCTGGGTTCAAGTGATTCTCCTGCCTCGGTCTCCCAAGTAGCTGGGACTACAGGCATGAGCCACTACGCCTGGCTAATTTTTGTATTTTTAGTGGAGATGGGGTTTCACCATGTTGGCCAGGCTGGTCTCGAACTGCTGACCTCCAGCGATCCACCTGCCCCAGCCTCCCGAAGTGCTGGGATTATAGGCTTCAGCCACCGTGCCCAGACTATAATATCCTTTATAATAAACCAGTAAGCATAAGTAAATGTTTCCCTGAGTTCTGTGAGCTGTTCTAGTAAATTAATCGAATTCAAGGAGGGGGTGATGGAGTCTCTGATTTATAGCTGATCAGTCAGAAGCAGAGGTAAAACAACCTGTAACTTGCAATTGGCCTCAGAAGCTGGGGGGCAGTCTTAGGAACTGAGGTTTAAATCTGAAAGGCAGTCCTCAACTTGTGGTATCTGAGGCTATCTCCAGGTAGTGTCAGAATTGAATTAAATTACAGGACATCCACATTCAGCTGGTGTCTGTTGCAGAATCGCTTGCCTGCTGGGTTTGTGGGGAAAACCCCCCACAAATTGGTCACAGAACTCTTCTGTGCTGGTTGTTGTGTAAGAGAAGAAGAAAAAACAGTTTGAGTTTCTCTACTCATGGAGAAATTAGTGGTTATTGAGCATGTATTTATGTTAGGCACTACATGAAGTACTTAACATGCTGTTTCATTTTTTCTCTAATGATTCTAACAAGTAGACATTCTTGTTATCTTCAATTTACAGATGAGAAGATTAAGGCACAGAAATATTGGACAATTTGTTTCAGGTAAAAATGGAAGGATGTACACTAAGTCTCTCTAACTCCAAACCAAAATCCCGAACATAATTTTATCCTGCTATTCCTCGAACACAGATGTAATCTTCACTAGGCCTGATAACTTTAGAAGTCTCAGTAGGAAGGATACAGACAATCAGCCAGTCAGGGAGTTTTTGTGGACCCCAAAAGTTCCTCTGTGGCATAGTCTTACCTTGGTGATTCACCAGGGTGAGGTTCTGGTCCACAGCCATATAGGCTTAGAAATCCAATCAGCTAACACATAGATTACGGATTTATCTCCCAAAGCAGACTCAAGCTTCCAGAGGCTGGTATTCAAAACCAGAATACCAGTTTATTCATAAAATTTTGAATAGAAAAAGAAAAATATAATGGCCAAGGGTCAAAACATTCATGTCCTGTGAGCAGCACTTGGGAAGTCAGATGGTAAGAGTAGGTTGCTTACAGAGTAAACAAGGGCGTCTGTTTTATTTAATAAACTTTTTTTTTTTTGAGACAGGGTCTCACTGTGTCACCCAGGCTAGAGTGCAGTGGTGCAATCTCAGCTCACTGTAGCCTCCACCTCCAGGGTTTGAGCAATTCTCCTGCCTCAGCCTCCCAAATAGATGGGACTACAGGTGCACACCACCACACCCAGCTAATTTTTGTGTTTTTTTCTTTTGATAGAGATGGGGTTTCACTATGTTGGCCAGGCTGGTCTTGAACTCCTGACCTCAAGTGATCTGCCCACTTTGGCTTCCAGAATGCTGGGATTACAGGCATGAGCCACCGTGCCTGGCCTATTTAATAAATATTTACAGGCCATGATAGATTCAAACCCATTCAACTCCAAAGCAGCCACTTCCAGAATGGAACAGGCTAGTGAAACCTCTTACCTACAAACACTTGGATAAACACCAACAGCATTTGCCTCTGAGACATTCTGTCTTCCTAAACTTTTTTTTTTTTTTTTGAGACGGAGTTTTGCTGTTGTTGCCCAGGCTGGAGTGCAATGGCGCGATCTTGGCTCACCGCAACCTCTGCCTCCCAGGTTCAAGTGATTCTTCTGCCTCAGGCTCCCGAGTAGCTGGGATAACAGGCATGCACCACCATGCCCAGCTAATTTTGAACTTTTAGTAGAGACGGGGTTTCACCGTGTTACCTGGGTTAGTCTCGAACTCCCAACCTCAGGTGATCTGCCCACCTCAGCCTCCCAAAGTCCTGGGATTACAGGTGTGAGCCTATTTTAAGATTATAGCATAATCTTGCTTACCAGGGAGCCATTTTACCTCTTTACTAAGACTTTGAATAACTATACTTTGACCCACTGTGCATTGATCTCAAGGTTAAAATCTGAAAGGGCAACTTTAATTCCATGGTTTCATAGGGAGTCCTCTCACTGAGGCTCCAAAGTATTGAAAGCAGCAATAAGAGACAAGATCCCTCTGGTAGAAGCTGCCTTCTTTCTGAAGGTTTTGCTGGTTGGCTCTCCAACTTCAGAAACAGAGAATGTCGCCATCAGATTTTTGCCTGTCTACTGAAAACTAAAGGATAACAAACACTGTTTCTGTAGCTACCAAAGAGACAGACTGCTTGGAGAACGACTTACATAGCTCTGCAGACGCCCTGGTGGTGCCAGCTCCAGGGGAGTCGGTGCACATGGTGTGAAGCAATTTTTTTTTCCTGGCTTTTTGCCATAGATTCAGGCAGCTACAGCAACAGCAACAGCAGTGGTTCTTACTCACATGCAGAGCTTCCAGAATGCTTGGGAGTTTCCTGAAGATAAAAACTTGTGAAAGATAAAGGTAGAAGTTATACAAGGTAGAGCAGCCAAGACTTAAAGGAGGACAGTTGCCCTCAGAACTTTTGAACCCCGGGTAACTGCCAAGCTTAAAGTCAAGGAAAGAATGCTCACTGCCTGCATGTGCTACATGACACCTTGCACAGCAGATCACAGAGAAAGAATAGCATGGACAAACTCCTCTCCTTCTGCATCTTCACGGTACAAGGAAGAGGAAGAGGGTCCTGGGGGAACAGAGTTTTTCCAGCATTATGGAGCTGCCACATTGGGAAAACATAATGAGAACTGAAGCCCCTGACTATCAAGGCCAACTCTTTCCAACTCTTTTCAGCCACATGGAAAGAATCTCAGGTAAACCCAGAGCTCCCGGTACATGGACACAGAACACTGGGTACACTCAATTATACCCACAGCCTCTTCCTAGAGTGTTCTCTAGATGATGCTAGGACAGACGGGTAGGGCAGATCAGGGGAGTCTAACTACAGTTACTGATTTTCTTCACTCAAGGCCAACTAGGGTTCTAGACAGCCAAGCTCACTCATGAGGCCCCAAAGTACTCACAGCAGCAATAAGAGACAAGATCCCTCTGGTAGAAGCTGGTGATCAAGGTATTGTGATTTCTTTTCATATCCCACCTCTTTCCAACATTCACATATTAAAGTGAAGCCCCCACCAACTCAGTATGAAGACTTGGCCCTGTTATACCTCCAGATTCTTGCAAGAGGTTTGTTTTCTGAACATTTCCCTCTGTGTACACCCCTCTTGTCTTAATTGGCCCTACCCACTGAGGTGGATTCCAGATCCTTCTCCTGTATCTTTGGCTTGGCTCAAGCCTCTGGCCCCTCCACTGCAAAGTCTAAAAGCAGGGAGATGGCCAAAATAGGCAGTGAGGGAAGAACAGAGGCATTCCTCTTGCATCTGCTCAGTCTCTCAGCAATCCTCTGTCAGGGAAGCTCTCAGGGTTACTGCCTGGCCTAGAGAGTCTCCCTTTCCTCACTGCATAAGAGAAGGGTGAGACACAGAACAAAGTCTCTCAGAGGCTGTCTGCTGCGTGCTGAAAGTCAGCCACTGTTGTTGAATATGGGTGTTCTCCATAGGCTCCATTCTGGGTGTAACTCCACAGAGCCGTTTTCTGGGTCTATTTCAGCAAGGGTCTGGATGAGTATTCTTCCAACATGACTCCTTGCCATATCTCTAGTTGTCATTGGCTCTCAGGGGAGTTGCTGTTCACGGTTTTCACAGGTTAACTGCTATTGTTGTTATTATTATTAGCTGGCATGCAGAGTGGCACACTTCAACAAACCCCGGCAGTAGTGACAAGCTACCACTTTAGCAAAGTTTGACTAATTGATTAAAAAAAGTTTTTGAACATTGGCATGTACATGAAACACTTGATGATGTAGATGGAAATAAAGATAAACAAGAAAATGAATTCTCTTCTCCAGGAGGTTACATTCTAATGGAGACATAGGTGCAGACATAAACCATTCTAATATAAAGTCCAGATAGAAGGACAGGTCACGGCCGGGCGCGGTGGCTCACGCCTGTAATCCCAGCACTTTGGGAGGCCGAGGCGGGTGGATTATGAGGTCAGGAGATTGAGACCATCCTGGCTAACACGGTGAAACCCTGTCTCTACTAAAAATACAAAAAAATGAGCCGGGCTTGGTGGCGGGTGCCTGTAGTCCCAGTTACTCAAGAGGCTGAGGCAGGAGAATGGCGTGAACCCAGGAGACAGAGCTTGCAGTGAGTCGAGATCGCGCCACTCCACTCCAGCCTGGGCGACAGAGCGAAGACTCCATCTCAAAAAAAAAAAAAAAAAAAAAAAAGGACAGGTTACAGTTATAATGCTCACACCTGCTAAGTTGAAGGAGAGCATTTTCACCTAGGAGGCCACCAGATAGATGTCTGTTGACTTCCTGGGATATCCTGATTCTGTTTTTGCTTAAGAAACCAACATCTGACCCGGCGCGGTGGCTCGTACCTGTAATCCCAGCACTTTGGAAGGCCGAGGTGGGCAGATCACTTGAGGCTAGGAGTTCAAGACCAGCCTGGGCAACATGGTGAAACCCCGTCTCTATTAAAAATGCAAAAAAAAATTAGCCAGGTTTGATGACGGGCCCCTGTAATCCCAGCTACTCTGGAGGGCTGAGGTAGGAGAATCACTTAAACCAGGGAGGCAGGGTTGCAGTGAGCCGAGATAGCGCCACTGCACTCCAGCCCAGGCAACAGAGTAAGACTCCATCTCAAAAAAAAAAAAAAGCCAACATCAAGGTTAAAAAAGGCAACTGTGGCCAGGCACGGTGGCTCACACCTGTAATCCCAATGCTTTGGGAGGCCGAGGTGGGCAGATCACTTGAGGTCAGGAGTTCAAGACCAGCCTGGGCAACATGGCGAAATCCTATCTCTACTAAAAATACAACAAAAATTAGCCAGGTGTTGTGGCGGTCGCCTGTAGTCCCAACTACTCGCGAGGCTGAGGTACAAGAATCGCTTGAACCCAGGAGGCGGTAGCTGCAGTGAGCCGAGATCGCGCCACTGTACTCCAGTCTGGGCAACACAGTAAGACTCTGTCTCAAAAAAAAAAGAAGAAAAAAAGGCAATTGTAACATGTCAAGCACCATAAAATAGATACTTAGTAATGCCTTATGTGCATATAAGAGGAGTTTGCTATGTTATCATTTTCTTTTAAATTGATCTCTTAAATTAGTCAAATAGGTTGACCTGTTAATCACTTCCCTTTTGCTTCTCTTCCCTGTTCCTTCGGGCAACTAACATGAGAACAAACAAAGTTCAGTACCAGGAATAAAGTTGACTCATACTCTTAGGCTTTCTCTCCTTTTAGAACACATTGATTGAAGACTTGGAGTGGGGTGACATTCATTCTCATAGGGAAAAAGATAAAGTCGCCAAAGCAGAAAGGTTAAGAAGGGAGCAGGGAATATGAGGTGAAGAACTAGGAAACAGTGGCTATTGGACTGTCTTTTTTTTTTTTTTTGAGACAGTCTCACTCTGTTGCCCAGGCTGGAGTGCAGTGGCATGATCTCAGCACTCTGCAACCTCCGCCTCCCGGGTTCAAGTGATTCTCCTGCTTCAGCCTCCCTGTAGCTGGGATTACAGGTGCATGCCACCACGTCCAGCTAATTTTTTCATATATTATTTTTTAGTAGAGACAGGGTTTCACCATATTGACCGGACTGAATTAGACTGCTTTTGACAAAGTTTCTTCATCTCAGAAGAAAAGTCTGTTTCGTGAAGATCATATTCCAGGTAGAAAGATGAAGATGAGTAGAAATCCCACATATTCTGTCCCAACATCTTAGAGGAAGAGAATAAGTTGTGACAACACAAATAGTATCTTTGTGACCTGGTACCAGTCCATGCTTTCCGGGTCTAGAAAATTTAAAAACAAAATGGATAGAGTACAGGTTCCAATACACAAAATTAGCAGTAAAGAGAGGTGGACTGAGCTGGGCGCAGTGGCTCACACCTGTAATCCCAGCACTTTGGGAGCCCAAGGAGGGTGGATCACCTGAGATCGGGAGTTTGAGACCAGCCTGACCAATATGGAGAAACCCCATCTCTACTAAAAATACAAAATTAACTAGGCGTGGTGGCGCATGCCTATAGTCCTAGCTACTCAGGAGGCTGAGGCGGGAGAATCCTTTGAATCCAGGAGGCAGAGGTTGCGGTGAGTTGAGATTGCATCATTGCACTCTAGCCTAAGCAACAAGAGCGAAACTCTGTCTCAAAAAAAAAAAAAAAAAAAAAGAGGTGGACCGTTTTCAAGGCAGAAATCTCAATGGTGCCACTGAGTAATTTCAGGTCAAGAGATAAATGGCCAGACGCAGTGGCTCACCCCTATAATCCCAGTACTTTGGGAAGACGAAGTGGCTGGGTCACTTGAGGTCAGGAGTTCAAGACCAGCCTGACCAACATGGTGAAACCCCATCTCTAATAAAAATACAAAAATTAGCCAGGCATGGTGGCGGGTGCCTGTAATCCCAGGTAGTTGGGAGGCTGAGGCAGGTGAATCGATTGAACCTGGGGGGCGGAGTTTGCAGTGAGCTGAGATCACACCACTGCACTCCACGCTGAGCAACAGAGTGAGACTGTCTCAAAACCACAACCACAACAACAACAACAACAAAACAAGAGGGTAGAATTGATGTCTCTCCCTCCAGTGAGTTCTTAAAGGCTTTTTTTTTTCTGTGTCATGCCTTTGTTTCTTTACTATCTAAATTATCACTGAAGTCTGTATATGCTATTGAAAATATTCGTTTGTCTTCATATAAACTCTTAACTACTTAAGGGCAGCAATCATGTCTTCATACCCTCAGTGGCAACTAGCTCAGTGCCGACTCTTATTAGGTCATTAAGAAATGTCACTGGATTTGATGTTTTAGGAGAATTGGACTTCAAGGGTAAACAGCTGCAAGGTCTGGCAATCCATAGGTCTGGCCAAGAATTACCACGAGGCAAGACAACATTTGGCAATTACAAGGGCATTCCAGTGAAGTGGAGTGTCAGATTTTGCAATAGTTCTGCAAATAAAATAGATTTTTCTGGAGCGGCTGGGTTCTTGGAAAAACACGCGTTGATGGCAAAAATTAATCTGGGTCCCACTTTTATAGAGATCACGCAAGATATAATCTCTGCCAGAGTCAAATAAGAAGTGGTGATATTAATAAATTTTCTGGGCCGGGCGCAGTGGTTCACACCTGTAATCCCAGCACTTTGGGAGGCCGAGGCAGGCAGATCACGAGGTCAGGAGTTCGAGACAAGCCTGGTCAACATGGTGAAATCCCATCTCTACTAAAAATACAAAAATTAGCCAGGCATGGTGCCACATGCCTGTAATCCCAGTTACTCAGGAGGCTAAGGCAGGAGAATCACTTGAAGCCAGGAGGCAGAGGTGGCAGTAAGCCAAGATCATGCCGCTGCACTCCAGCCTGGGCAACACAGCAAGACTCTGTTTCAAAAAATAAAAAAAATAAATTTTCTGGGTTGTACAAGGAATTATGCTAGGTATTATACATGCAGATTTTTTTTTTTTTGAGACGGAGTCTTACTCTGTTGCCCAGGTTGGAGTGCAGTGGCATAATCTCAGCTCACTGCAACCTCCGCTTCCTGGGTTCAAGCAATTCTCCTGCCTCAGCCTCCCAAGTAGCTGGGACTACAGGTGCATGCCACCACACCCAGCTAATTTTTGTAGTTTTAGTAGAGATAGGGGTTTCACCATGTTAGCCAGACTGGTCTCGAACCCCTGACCTTAGGTGATCCACCTGCCTTGGCCTCCCAAAGTGCTGGGATTTCAGGTGTGAGCCACTGTGCCCAGCCTGCAGAATTTTTTTTCTTTTTGAGACAGAGTCTCGCTCCGTCACCCAGGCTGGAGTGCAGTGGCGCGATCTGGGCTCACTGTAAGCTCCACCTACCGGGTTCATGCCATTCTCCTGCCTCAGCCTCCTGAGGATCTGGGACTACAGGAGTCCGCCACCACGCCCAGCTAATTTTTTGTATTTTTAGTAGAGACAGGGTTTCACCGTGTTAGCCAGGATAGTCTCAATCTTCTGACCTCGTGATCAGCCCACCTCGGCCTCCGAAAGAGCTGGGATTACAGGCATGAGCCACCGTGCCCGGCCCAGAATATTTTTTAAAGTAAGATGTGATTACTGTCCTCAAGCTTAAAACCTTAGTGAGAAGTTAATATAGATGTACATAAAATAATCAGAGAATGATATGAATGTTACATTGAGTTAGAAATTAAACATTACATTACTGTCCTAAGATGGTAGCCATGAGATGGGTCTTGGGACTCCTCAAATTGTTGTAGGTATTTGCCCCCCATCCTGAGGTCATTTGAAACATAATAAAGTTTATAGCTTTAACACCTCCCCCACCACTCCACCTTACCACCACCTATTAATAGGTCAAGATAGCATTTCACTTGCCTGGTGCAATAATGTGCCTCATATACCGTCTAGCCTCTGAGCTAGGATCTACAACCCCAACTTATAGACTAAGATTCACTTCATTTCAATGACTCAATTCTTCCAGCTGGAAGATCATGAGGAGACTAGGTCTTTAGTTCAAAGAGTCAGTCTCAGCCCTGCTTGGTGGCTCATGCCTGTAATCCCAGCACTTTGGGAGGTGAGGTGGGAGGACTGCTTGAGGCCAGGAGTTGGAGACCAAAGTGGGTAATAAGGTGAGACCCTGTTTCTACCAATCAATCAATCAATCAATAATAAATAAAAGAAACTGGCTGAGACCCTGTCTCAAAAGAAAAGTCTCAAAGGTAATCAGGACTTTGGGGATGGGAAAAGAGTTCCTGACTTATACTTCCCTAGGACTAAATTTCTTGCCAGTAACTTTTCTGCCTCTGAATAGAGTTACAGACCCCAAAATTATCTTGTCACTGGGATCTCTGGTTTCTATGGCCGGGGGTTTTGGATGTCAACTTTCTGTGCACCTGAATCCTGAATCTGTATAAATTGTCCAATGCATCTTAGATTGTTTTTGGAATTTTTTTTTTTTTTTTTGAGACGGAGTCTCACTCTGTCACCCAGGCTGGAGTGCAATAGCGCAATCTTGGCTCACTGCAGCCTCTGCCTCCCAGATTCAAGTGATTCTCCTGCCTCAGCCTCCCGAGTAGCTGGGATTACAAGCGCCTGCCACCACACCCAGCTAATTTTTGTATTTTTAGTAGAGACAGGGTTTCGCCATGTTGCCCAGGCTGGTCTTGAACTCCTAACCTCTAGTGGATCTGCCTGCCTCAGCCTCCCAAAGTGCTGAGATTATAGGCGTGAGCCACCGCGCCCAGCCTATTTTTGGAATTTTTATCATAGTATAAGTAAAAATTTTCTGCCAAGGTCCCAGGGGCTAGTTCTGGCAAAAGAATCACAGGGAAGATTCTACACAGCACACTGGTAGCCTAAGGGTCTCTTATTTCATCATGTGTCTTACTACAAGGCAACAATGAGTGAGAGGCTGCAGCTTTGTGATGAGCTCATAGTCATCAACTGGTTTGTGATAGGAACAGTAACTAAAGAAGATTTCTGCTTTAAGGTTTAAGGGAATGAAAGGGTTATTTCAGGAAGAAGAAGAAAAAAAAACCCACCACAGAATGGATTAGCTAGCAAGGTGACTATCCAGACATGATATGCCTTAGCATTTACATCAGATCAAATAAGATAATGCCCAAATACCCAGCTCAGTTCCTGGCACTCAACAAATATTAGTTCTTTTTTTTTTTGTTTTTTTTTTTTGAGGCAGAACTCTCACTCTGTCACCCAGGCTGGAGTGCAGCCAGTTCTCTTCCTCTTGTATAGAGATTTTACAGTTTACAAACTGCTTCTGCATACATTAAATCCCCCCCGCCCAAAACCTTCTGAATCAGATATTTCCCCCAGAGTAGTGATTTCACCTCCTAAAAGTATTGCAAGGCTGAAAGTCAGATCCAGGTCTTTAGACACCAAAATGAGTTCTCTTTTCTCCATAGCCCAAATCCTTCTATTGCTTTGTCCTAGATTTAAGATTGCAAAGGTTGGATTAGCGTGCTAAGAATGAGATGGAAAAGAAAGAATGATCTGTGAGTTCCTGTGTAGCTGAGGTTATCAGGGCCTTATTATTATATACCTTTATTTGTATTAATAAAATAACAATACTGCATTTTATCTGTCCCAAGAAATATATAGTTATATTGTAATATCTCAGAAATCAAGATGTGTCTTTTTTTTTTTTTTTTGAGACAGTCTTGCTCTGTTGCCTAGGCTGGAGTGCAGTGGCGCGATCTAGGGTCACTGCAACCTCTGCCTCCCAGGTTCAAGCGATTCTCCTGCCTCAGCCTCCCGAGTAGCTGGGATTACAGGTGCCCACCACGACGCCTGGCTAATTTTTGTATTTTTAGTAGAGATGAGGTTTCACCATGTTGGCCAGGCTTGTCTTGAATTCCTGACGTCGTGATCCACGTGCCTTGACCTCCCAAAGTGCTGGGATTACAGACGTGAGCCACCGCGCCCGGCCAAGATGTGTCTTAAAACTGATGTTTTACAGTTGTTTCTTCTGCTCAGCAGTTGTGCTATAGTTGTCATTGTCTTTTTTTTTTTTTTTTTTTTTTTTCTGAGACGGAGTTTCACTCTTGTTGCCCAGGCTGGAGTGCAATGGTGTGATCTCAGCTCACTGCAACCTCTGCCTCCCAGGTTCAAGCAATTCTCCTGCCTCAGCCTCCCGAGTAGCTGGGATTACAGGCATGCACCACCATGCCCGGCTAATTTTGTATTTGTAGTAGAGACGGGGTTTCTCCATGTTGAGGCTGGTCTCGAACTCCTGACCTCAGGTGATCCGCCGGCCTCGGCCACTCAAAGTGCTAGGATTACAGGCATGAGCCACCACACCCAGCCGTCATTGTCTATTCATGCCCAAACTTGATTGATTGTTAATCCTGGTGGCATGACTGGAAAACTGAAACTCATAGCCCTTTCAGTTTGTTCATTTAAGTATCATTTAAGCAAGCTATATGAATCCTACTTGTTGCCTGAAAACCTTTCATTGACACCTTCCTGTAAGATCAAGAAAGCATTAGCATCAAAACTTGCAGACTGGATGTCAGAGACTTGGAAGAAAAACTCAGATAAAAATAGTCTGGCCAGGCACGATGGCTCATGCCTGTAATCCCAGCACTTTGGGAGGCCAAGGCAGGTGGATCACCTGAGGTCAGGGGTTCGAGACCAGGCTGGCCAACATGGTGAAACTTCATCTCTACTAAAAATACAAAAAAAAAAAAAAAATTAGCTGGGCATGGTGGCAGGCACCTGTAATCCCAGCTGCTTGGGAGGCTGAGGCAGGAGAATTGCTTGAACCCGGGAGGTGGAGGTTGCAGTGAGCCGAGATCACACCACTGCACTCCAGCCTTGGTGATTGAGGGAGATTCTGTCTCAAAAACAAACAAACAAAAAAGGTGAAGACCTGAAGACCTGCCTAAGGAACATTACATCACCAGTGCTCTCGAGGCCACACTTGTAATATTATATTGAAAAATACAGACATAGGCCGGGCTTGGTGGCTAATGCCTGTAATCCCAGCACTTTGGGAGGCCAACACAGGTGGATCATCTGAGGTCAAGAGTTCAAGACCAGCCTGGCCAACATGGTGAAACCCTGTCTCCACTAAAAACACAAAAAATTAGCCGGGCCTGGTGGCGCATGCCTGTAATCCCAGCTACTCGGGAGGCTGAGGCAGGAGAATTGCTTGAACCCAGGAGACAGAGGTTGCAGTGAGCTGAGATCATGCCATTGCACTCCAGCCTGGGCAACAAGAGCAAAACTCTGTCTCAAAAAAAAAAAAAAAAAAGGAAGAAAATACAGACATTGATGATTCAGAGTCAAAAGTGATTCAGAGACAGACTCTGAATGTGAAGACATTTTGGACTACCCTACCTAAATAGTTTTCATTATATTTTCCTTTTATTAAAGCACAAGTGTGATATGATAAAAATCAATGTTCAGGTTCAATGAGAATAGTCATATTTGTATATATATGCCTCATAATTTATATAGTCAACTCATTTTGATCATTATAATAACGTTGTGACATTAGTAGCAAAATATTATCTCCAATTTTACCTCTGGGAAAAATAAGGCAGATTAAATACTCAACCATGGAATCAGGACTCATCCTAATTAAGTCTCATCCTAATTAAATCTTCTAGAATAAGCCTAAAATCCTTCTTTTCCCTCTAAAATTTCAAGACTTGTATCAATTTTAGAGCCACTGTTTGTTTCTTTCTGAGAGCCACTGTTTTTATTTTATTTATTTATTTTTTTGAGACTGAGTTTTGCTTTTATCGCCCAGGCTGGAGTACAATGGCGTGATCTCAGCTCACTGCAACCTCCGCCTCCTGGATTCAAGTGATTCTCCTGCTTCAGCTTCCTGAGTAGCTGGGATTATAGGTGGCCGCCACCACACCCAGCTAATTTTTGTGTTTTTAGTAGAGATGGGTTTTCACCATGTTTGCAGGCTGGTCTCAAACTCCTGACCTCAGGTGATCCACCTACCTTGGCCTCCCAAAGTGCTAGGATTACAGGCATGAGCCACCACGCCCGGCCGAGAACCACTGTTTTTAAAAAATTGAGCAAATTTGGTGAGATTGATGATAATATAATTCGGAATGAATACTGAACATGACTCCTTTTTGGCAAGGGAAGTCAACTATCAGAATTGTAACAAATCACTATTACACACAGCCTAGTACTTTGCATAGCAAAGTACATAAAAGGTACTAAATAAATAATAGGAGTTGTATTACTCAGGGCAATTAACACTGACTATCCCAGCAGTCAGACTCTAAATCCTCAGTGGTTTAAACAACAAACATTTATATCTCACACATGTCATCTATCTAGCACAGGTTGGCAAGCAGTGAAAGTTCAGTGTTGCTCAACTCCTCACCTTCACTCAGTGCTATGGTTTGAATGTTTGTGTCCCCTCCAAAATTCATGTAGGAACTTAATGCCCAAAGTTATATTAACTATTAAAAGGTGGGACCTTTATGAGGTGAGTAAGTCATGAGTGCTCCACCCTCATGAATGGAATTAATGCTTTATAAGGGAGGCTTTACACAGCATTTCTCTCTTTTTACCCTTCCATCCCTTCCACGATGTGAGGACGAGGAGCCACTGGAAGCACAGACATCAAACTAGAATAGACTAGACTAGATATCAGACCTATTGTTGCCTTCATTTTGGAAATCTCAGCCTCCAGAACTGTAAAAAATGCATTTCTATTATTTATACATTACCCATTCTCAGGGTTTTTGTTTGTTTGTTTTTTGTTTTTTTGAGATAGTCTCGCTTTGTTGCTTAGGCTGGAGTACAGTGGTGCTCACTGCAACCTCCGCCTCCCCGGTTCAAGCAGTTCTTTTGCCTCAGCCTTCCCAGTAGTTGGGATTACAGGTGTGTGCCACTATGCCCAGCTAATTTTTTGTATTTTTAGTAGAGACAGGGTTTTGCCATGTTGGCCAGGCTGGTCTCGAACTTCTGGCCTCAGGTGATCCACCTGCCTCGGCCTCCCAAAGTGCTAGGATTACAGGCATGAATCACCGTGCCCTTTGGGAGGCCAAGATGGGTGGATAACCTATGGTCAGGAGTTCCAGACCAGCCTGGCCAATATGGTGAAACCCTATCTCTACTAAAGTACAATACTTCCTCAGATGGAAATGAGGAAAATGGTATTAGAAACTGGAGGAAAAGCCATTCTTGTGGCAAAGAACTTGACTGAATTGTTTCTGTGTCCTAACGTTTTATGAATGGCAGAACTTGTGAGTGATGAACCAGGATATTTGGCAGAATTATCTGAGCAAAGTGTTGAAGGTTCTGCATGGCTTCTTTTGATTGCTTATAGTAAAATGTAAGAAGGGAGAAATGAATTAAAGATAGAACTAAAAGGGAAGCAGAAGATTTGGAAACTTCTCAGCCTGGTGTTAAAGAAAAATCTGAGGCACAAGAGTTTATTTGAGTGAGATGCAATTCATGAGTTGGGGAACACCAGACTAAAAGAAGTTTAGTGTCCCAATGATGAAATGTCAGGTATTTATTGGGAAAATGGAGAAGCAAAATAAATTATTTGATTGGCTTCCAATTACAAAATTCCTTTTTTTAGGTACTTGTTGGCAAGCCCCTAATCACATAATCATACTTATCATGGCTGGGGTTGAGTTTTAGTTTTGTCTAGCATGAACCATCAGAAATTACCCAACTTAAGTTTTTGCAGTTTAAGCAAGATTTAGGTTATTTTTTATTTTATTTTTTAATTTTTTTGAGACAGAGTCTCTCTCTGTCGCCCAGGCTTCAGTGCAGTGGTGCGATGTCGGCTCACTGCAAGCTCTACCTCCCAGGTTCACGCCATTCTCCTGCCTCAGCCTCCAGAGTAGCTGGGACTACAGGCACCCGCCATGACGCCCAGCTAATTTTTTTGTATTTTTAGTAGAGACGGGGTTTCACCGTGTTAGCCAGGATGGAGATTCAGGTTATTTTTAAGGCCTCTGGTTTTGTCTGCTCAAAAAGTTTTCTGGCCAAGTCTCCATTTTAATTTAAACACTGGCAGGGTTGCAAAGCATATTTCAGAAAGCATACCAAGGATGTGGCCAAGAGGCTATTTGATAAAATTAATAGGGATAGGAGGAAGCCAGATGCTATTCTCAGGACAATGGAACAATGACCCTGAAGGCATTTCAGAGATCTCTGAGGCTGCTACTCCCATCACAGGCCCAGAGTGCTAGTGCCTTGAGGGAAGAAAGGCTTCAAAGGAGGGACCTTGGGGCTCTCAATATTGCCTCAAGTCTGTTCCCTGCATTCAGGTGCAGAACTCCTTGGCTGCCCCAGCTGTGGTTCAAGTGGGCCCAAGTGAGGCTTGGGCTGCTGCTCCAGGAGGCACAAGCGATAAACTTCAGTGGGATCCTTGTGCTGCCAGCTCTGCAGGCATGCAGACTGCAACACTTGTGGAGGCATTGCTACCTCCACCTAGATTTCAAAGGCTCTCTCTGAAAGCCTCAGGGCCCAGGTAGAGAGCTGCCAGGGATACTGCAGAGAACCTCCACTAGGCAATGTCAAATGGAGTTGTGGGTTAAGGCCATTGTAGAGAGCCCTGTCAAGTACAGTATCTAGTGGGGCCATGGGGAAGGGTCAGCTCTACTCCCCCAACCCCTGGCAAGACCCAAAACCTAGAGAGCCACCAGTGTGCAGCATCAGTCAGGGAGAGCTGCAGCATGGGCTATGCCCAGTGATGCCATAGGAATGCAGCTGTCCAGGGCTTTGGGGGCCCAACCCTCACCCCAGGGTGTCCAGAAGGTCGCACATAGAGTCAAAGATTGTTTTTCTGAAGCTTCAAGATTTAAAGTTTGCCTTGTTGGATTTTGGACTTACTTGAGACCTGTTACCCATTTCTTCTTGCCTATTGCTCCCTTTTAGAATGGGAATGTCTGTCGTATGCCTGTACACCATTGTATTTTGGAAGCACATAACTTGATTTCACAGGCTCACAACGGGAGAGGAATTTGCCTCATGATGAATTGTACCTTGAGTCACATCCAAATGTTATGAAGATGATATTTAGATGAGACTTCAGAGTCAGACTCTAAAGTTGATGCTGGAACAAGTTAAGACTTTTGATGTTATTGGGATGGAATGATTATATTTTGTAAGTAAGAAGGACATATATTTTGGGGGGCCAGGGGTGGAATTCTACAGTTTGTGTCTCCTCCAAAACTCATATTGAAATTTAATCTACAATGAAACACTCTTTAAGAGGTAGGGCCTTCAGAGGGTAGGCCCTGAGGGCTCCACTCTCACAGTGCTTTAGAAGAGGACTTGAGGGGGTGGGTTTGCCCCTTCTGTCTCTTCCTCCATGTAAGGACACAGATTTCAGACCCTCTGAAAAATGCAGCAACAAGGCATTATCTACTAGTGGCTTGATATTGGACTTTGCAGACTCCAGAACTGTGAGAAACGAATTCCTATTATTTGTAAATTATCTAGTCTTAGGTATGTTGCTATAGCAGCACAAACGGACTATGAGACTCAGTAACCAAAATGACTCAAATTATATCTTGTGGCTGAACCATGTGGAATATTAACCTCTGGGGTTGTGTGACAGGTAATAACAGGGTTGGGGAGCACATTAGCTTATACCTTCCTCAGCCTAAAAATGATACATGTCATTTCCTTGATAGGCCATTAGCTTGCTGTAATCACATGATCCAAACCTAACTGTAAGGGATGCTGGGAAAAGCAGGGGAGCAGTGGAATATTTGATGAGTACTGTTTATACAACAGCAGTTCTATAAATATTTCCTTGAGGGCAAGAATCTGTTTTATTTACTGATATTCCCAAACATCTAGAAAAGTGCCTGACATTTAGTGTTCACTAATAATTACTGAATCAATTAATTGATGAATTAATAAATGGCATGTGAAGCTGGTATGAATCTATTCTGAAAAGTTGCCAGATAGAATGATATGCAAGTTCAGGTTAATATTTCAGCAACAATTAGTGTTAACAAGAAAAAGGTATTTTGGTAAGAATTTATTTGAAGTTGACTAACATTCTCAAATGTAGTTACAGATTACATAACATCTTTTTTACAGGAGCTTAACAGTTCTTTAAATTGACAAAAATGTGAGGAAAGACAACAGTTAATTCTAAAAGCCAGTTTGGATTTTTTGTTTCATTTAAAAACAAACAGCCTGTGGCCGGGCACGGTGGCTCACACTTGTAATCCCAGCACGTTGGGAGGCCAAGGTGGGCAGATTACAAGGTCAGGAGTTCGAGACCAGCCTGGCCAACATGGTGACACCCCATCTCTACTAAAATTACAAAAATTAGCTGGGCGTGGTGGTGCGCACCTGTAGTCCCAGCTCCTCGGGAGGCTGAGGCAGAAGAATCGCTTGAACCCAGGAGGCGGAGGTTGCAGTGAGCCGAGATCGCGCCACTGTACTCCAGCCTGGGCCACACAGTGAGACCCTGTCTCAAAAAAGAAAACAAAATGAACAGCCTGCAGTCTTCCTAGAAATGACTGTTTAGGGAGTTGGGAACAGCTTGCCATGGAGAGAATTTAAGATTGTCATAATAGGAAAAGGTAAGGAGTAGCGAGGTAGGGGGAAACATTCAATAAACAGCAGTCCTTTTCACTCTAATAGAAAAACCTGTTCTCAGTTTTACCAGCATATTTAGAAAGGCACAAAGAGTTCAATATTGGAGTTTTCAGAAAGGAATCTCAAAGTGATTATGAGATGTAATCATTCATCTTTCATTCATCATCCAAATAGGTACAAAGCACAATGCCCAAGATTGTGCTAAGAATCGAGGTGCAAAAGATAGGATTTCTATGCTAATGAAACTTCTAGTCTAATTGGGAAGATAGACATTGAACAACTATTACAATAAGCGTGACATTGGTTGCAAAAAGGGAAGTGCCAGGTGCTATAAAGTGACAGACTGGGGAACTACGGGTTTTGGGCAGTAGAAAAGTAGGATCTGAAACAATCTCAAGAAATTGATGTTTCAACTTAACTCCAAAAGATAAGGACGATTTATTTGGCAATGGAAAAGTGAGGGGAAGACAACTCCAGACGGTGGGAATAGCCTGTCCTCACAACCCTACTATGAAGTCACACAGGATTACATGCTTAATTATATAGCTGGAGAAGTTGCAGAAGAAGAAAGTGACTTGTTCAAGGGACACTGTTTAACAGGGCACTTAATTAGGACCATAGGCCGCATTCCTAACCTTTTTAGGGCAAGGCACACAATTCTCTTTCTAAGGAAGACTCTCTTTCCTCACCAAAATAGTAGCTGAGTCAATCACTCCTATAGCCCATCAGGCACATCAACCAAGCATGAGCTATACTGATATAAAAGATATCAATTTATAATCTGTCCCACAGCTTTCAGGATGAGAACTAAAGAGCCCTAAAGGTCTCTCATGTAGGAAGAGGGTGGTGTGTAGTGGCAGAGAGGGAAGCTTCATCAGTGAGAGCCAAGTGCTAAAAGCAGCTGCGTGTGACATTTCCGTCAGCAGTCCTTCCTCCCTCATTGTGTATGAGACACACATCAGATGCTCTGGTTTATGATTTCAGCTTCAGAGTACATACCCTTTGAGATCCAAGCTCACATATCTCTTCCGGTGGCATGGTGCCTTTTTATTAACTGGCTTTAAAACCCATCTCGGAGTAGTAACTACCCAAATGCTGAGAATATTGGGACCCCTTTCTCCTACCCTCATGGTTTGGAAACGTGTGGACTGGTTGACTCTCAGGCCCTAGGTGCCTGCCTAGTCTCCCTGCTTGCTAGAAAGTGACAAAGCACATGCTACCAAAAAGATTCTGCACAGATGCCAGAATCATGTCAGAACACAAGGTCACATACAGTACTGTCTTCCCCATTTATATCAGCCCAGAGGACAATCTACTCTCTTACCTTTGGAAGACAAAATAGAGGCTAACTTTTGGAGGTCCTAGGTAAGCACCACTTTATTTTTCATTTTCCTTTATTTTTTTGAGACAGAGTCTCACTCTGTCACCCAGGCTGGAGTACAGTGGCACCATCTCTGCAACCTCTACCTCCTGAGTTCAAGTGATTCTCCTGCCTCAGCCTCCCAAGAGTAGCTGGGATTACAGGCGTGGGCCACATGCCTGGTTAATTTTTGTATTTTTTTTTTAACCTTCAGGAACAATTTATTCCATTTTCTAGGAGTTACTCTCTGACTTCTGTCTTTCATTTGGCCCTGTAGTAAATGCTGTAATGTTCTGTTCAGGTGAGAACAATCCCAAGAGACAAAAAGGAGACAGATTTCAAATCGGCTTTGCCCTCCAATGGGAAATTTAAGGACAAGTATTGCTGACTCAGAGAAAAAAATGTCTTTTTTTGCCTTAAGTACTCATCTCCTCCCTGGTTAATATAATAACTTTTTATAAATATGACTTCAAAAATCCATTAAAGGAAATCTTAGTACCTGTAAAGAATGTAACATATTCTGATATGTGAGATTTCTTTTTATTATTATACTTTAATTTCTAGGGTACATGTGCACAACGTGCAGGTTTGTTACATATGTATACATGTGCCATGTTGGTGTGCTGCACCCATTAACCCATCATTTACATTAGGTATTTCTCTTAATGCTATCCCTCCCAATTTTTGTATTTTTAGCAGAGACAGAGTTTCGCCATGATGGCCAGGCTGGTCTCAAACTCCTGGCCTGGCCTCAAGTGATCCGCCTGCCTGGGCCTCCCAAAGTGCCAGGATTACAGGCATGAGACACTGCAGCTGGCCAGCATTTAATTAGGTAGATCAGATTTAGGGAAGGTCAAGTTTTTGCCCTTTCATATTGTGTTTACTCCCCCAGGTAAATTAAAGTAGGAAAAATCCATTATTTACGGCTGGGCGTGGTGGCTCACGCCTATAATCCCAACACTTTGGGAGAATTGCTTGAACCCGGGAGGCGGAGGTTGTAGTGAGCTGAGATCGTGCCACTGCACTCCAGCCTGGGCAACAAGAACAAAACTCTGCCTCAAAAAAAAAAAAAAAAAAGAAAAATCTATTATTTACAGGGGAGATAGAGGAAAGTCCTTATAGGCTTTTGCTTCTTTGATTTGATAGCACAGATCCTGATTTCACTGAGATGCCAGCAAATGAAAAGATAAGGTTGCATACTGACTTGTCTCTAAAACTTTAAAAGTTCCTGATACAGTTCCTCATTTCAAAATGTATTACTTTAGAGATTTCTGTTATGTATTTGTGTTGAAATCTGTTACTTGCTTCCAAAAGTGCTTGGTCATATAATCTCTCAGATTACTTCCCCAAATTATCCCAATACTTCTCAAATTATCTCAATGGTAATGAAAACCATTGGAAAATAAATGTCAGAGTTTTCTTTTTTTTTTTTTTTTTGAGACAGAATCTTGCTCTGTCACCCAGGTTGGAGTGCAGTGGTGCGATCTCACTGCAACTGCCTCACGAGTTCAAGCGATTCTCTTGCCTCAGCCTCCTGAGTAGCTGGGATTACAGGCATGTACATCGATGCCCAGCTCATTTTTGTATTTTTAGTAGAGATGAAGTTTTGCCATGTTGGCCAGGCTGGTCTCTAACTCCTGACTTCAGGTGATCCATCTGCCTTGGCCTCCCAAAGTGTTAGGATTACAGGCATGAGCCACCGTGCCCAGCTAAAGAGTTTTCTTTTCTTTTTCTTGTTTTTTTTGAGATGGAGTCTCATTCTGTCACCGAGGCTGGAGTGCAATGGCTCGATCTCTGCTCACTGCAAGCTCTGCCTCCTGGGTTCATGCCATTCTCCTGCCTCAGCCTCCCAAGTAGCTGGGACTACAGGCACCCACCACCAAGGCCGGCTAATTTTTTTTATTTTTAGTACAGACGGGGTTTCACCGTGTTAGCCAGGATGGTCTCGATCTCCTGACCTCGTGAGCCACCAGCCTTGGCCTCCCAAAGTGCTGGGATTACAGGCGTGAGCCACCGCGCTCGGCTGCCAAGAGTTTTCTTTTTAATAAACAAAATTATAATAATGACAATAATCTGTTCTGAACTAAACGGCAGCAGTGTCTGAACACCAAGACTGTTTGCTTTATTAATAGGTGGCCACATTTTGTTTTGTCTCAGGAATCTGTTCATAACCAGATATTAGACAGAATTTTGGATTATTTGAATGATGGGTTGGCTCTGGAAGGAGCATGCTAAAGTTGGGTGAGGCTATATAAGGGCTTCTTAGTCCACATTATTTCTCAAACCTCCATAAGTACATATATGTCTGGAGTAATAGTAACTATTTCTTAGTTTATGGCAAGGTAACGTCTGGTAAAATCCATTCATTTAGTCTACAAATATTCAAAGAAAACCTACTATATTCATTGTACTGATGAATAAGATACGATTCCTGACTTATATGTATAATTTCGTAGAGACTATTATATACTAGACTGAACTCCAAGGTCAGGGTTTAGGTCTGTTTCAATTTCCATTTTATATCCAGGGATAGCACAGAATCAGCCTCATGGTAGGAGCTCAATAAATAACTGGTTGAACAGGCCAAGCGTGGTGGTTCACACCTGTGATCCCAGCACTTTGGGAGGCCGAGGCAGGTGCGTCACTTAAGGTCAGGAGTTGGAGAACCAGCCTGGCCAACATGGTGAAACCGCGTTTCTACTAAATAAATCCAAAAATTAGCCAGGCGTGGTGGTGTGTGCCTGTAATCCCAGGACTCGGGAGGCTGAGGCAGGAGAATCTCTTGAACCTGGGAGGCAGAGGTTGCAGTGAGCCAAGATCGCACCTTTGCACTCCAGCCTTGGCAACCAGAGTGAAACTCCATCTCAAAAAAAAAATTAGTTTAATGTCTAAATATATGAACAAAAATGTACATGATGTTAGCTTTCTAACACAAAGATGTATACCATTTTTTGACAACGACATTTTGTTTGTTAATCAAAATTACATCAAACATTTCTAACATCAGCCATCAATAACCCATACTTTAGCCAGGCCTGTGGGAAGTTAATTTTAATTTTTACTTCCTTTTCTTTTCTTTTTTTTTTCTGAGATGGAGTCTGGCTCTGTTGCCCAGGCTGGAGTGCAGTGGTGCAATCTCAGCTCACTGCAACCTCCTCCTCCTGGGTTCAAGCAATTCTCCTGCCTCAACCTCCCGAGTAGCTGGGATTACAGACATGCGCCACCATACCTAGCTAATTTTTGTATTTTTAGTGGGGACGGGATTTCACCATGTTGGTCAGGCTGGACTCAAAGTCCTGACCTCATGATCCACCAGCCTCGGCCTCCCAAATTGCTGGGATTTACAGGCACGAGCCACCGTTCCTGGACCATTTTTACTTCTTGTAATCAGACTGTGGCCTTCAGGGAAATTAACACTGGGGAAAAAAGGATGATGTTTGAAAGAAAGGGATATTTAAATCAACACTATGAAGTTTTATTTAGAGGTTTTATTTAAAACATGCTATTCTGAAGACAACTACAAAGTGTGTGCATGGTGGGGTTTTTTCATTTTATTTTATTTTATTTTTTTTGGCAAATGCCAATTCAAAAATAGGAAGAGGCTGTGGGCAGAGTGGCTCCCGCCTGCAATTCCAATGTTTCAGGAGGCCGAGGCAAGAAGATTCATTGAGGTTATGAGTTCAAGACAAGCCTGGGAAACATAGTGAGTCCCCTTATCTACAAAAAATTTTAAAAATTAGCTGGGCATGGTGGTGTCTTCCTGTAGTCCTAGCCCCGCAGAAGGTTGAAGTGGGAGAACTGCTTGAGCCTAGGAGTTTGAGGTTACAGTGGGGTATGATCATGCCACTGCACTCCAGCGTGAGCGACAGAGCGAGACCCTGTCTCCAAAAAAAAAAAAGAAAAGAAAAGCCATGTCACCATGCTATTTAAGATATAGCTTTTCTCTTTCTCTTTATCCTAAACATTTTCTATCTCTTTTTTCAGACTTAAAAGAGCTCTACTTGCCAGCTCCTGCATTATACATAAATAGAAAGGAAGAAAGATGAGCTAAAGATCCTGGAAAGTAGAAAATCCAATTGTTATTCTGGATTCTAAACATTACCTGTGTGGCCTTGGATAAACTTGAATCTTTTCATATATAAAACAAAGGAAGTTGAATTAAATTATTTCTAACCCACCCTCCAGTTGAATATTCTATGATTTCATCTGACAAACCCTCCCTCTTTTCATCCTTGTTGTGTGTGAAATGCTCCATCACTCATCACAGATGCTTAAAATAAAATAGCTCTCTCTCTGTATAGAATGTCTGCCTTTTTTTCTCCAGATAGTCATGGCACCATGTTGACATTTTAAAGATCCAAATGAAGAGACAAAGAAGGAAATAAATAACCCCCTATAATCCTATCACCAAAGGATTTTGTTATAATCTAATATTGCCTTTGTGTTCATTTTATGCATATTTCTTTTAAAAAAATTGTGATCACTTTCTATTTAGTGTTTTGAAATCTGTTTTTCTTTTTGTTTTGAGACAGGGTCTTACTCTGTTGCCTATGCTGGAGTGCAGTGGTGCAATCATGGCACACTGCAGCCTTGACCTCCCCAAGCTCAGGTGACTCCCTGTATCCCGAGTAGCTGGGAATACAGGCATGCACCAGCATGCCTGGCTAATTTTTGCATTTTTGTAGAGAAGGTTTCACCATGTTGCCCAGACTGGTCTTGAATTCCTGGGATCAAGCAATCTGCCTGCCTCAGCCTCCCAAAGTGCTGGGATTACAGGCGTGAGCCACCATGCCTGGCCCAATTTTTGTATTTTTAGTAGAGACAAGGTTTCACCATGTTGGCCAGGATCGTCTCTATCTCTGGACCTCGTGATCCGCCCACCTAGGCCTCCCAAAGTGCTTGGATTACAGGCGTGAGCCATCAGGCCTGGCTTTTTTTTTTTTTTTGAGACGAAGTCTCGCTCTTGTTGTCCAGGCTGGAGTGCAAGGGCGTGATCTCGGCTCACCACAACCTCTGCCTCCTGGGTTCAAGCGATTCCCCTGCCTCAGCTTCCTGAGTAGCTGGGATTACAGGCGTGCGCCGCCACGCCACGCCTTCTAATTTTGTATTTTTAGTAGAGATGGGGTTTTTCCATGTTGGTCAGGCTGGTCTTGAACTGCTGACCTCAGGTGATCTGCCCGCCTCAGCCTCTCAAAGTGCTGGAATTACAGGCATGAGCCACCACGCCCAGCCAATAAAATATTTTTAATAAAAGATTAATACTTGGTTAATTTATTCATTGAAACATTAACAAACCTTAAACATTGGTAGGTTAATATTGGACAAATTGGAAGAATATTAGCACATTGACAGTATTCCTTTTTTTTGAGATGGAGTCTCACTCTGTTGCCCAGGCTGGAGTGCAGTGGCACAATCGCAGCTCAAGGCAACCTCCACCTCCCGGGTTCAAGCAATTCTTCTGCCTCAGCCTCCCAAATAGCTATTACAGGTGCCTGCCACCACGTGTGGCTAATTTTTCTGTGTGTATTTTTAGTAGAGACGGTGTTTCACCATGTTGGCCAGGCTGGTCTTGAACTCCTGACCTCAAGTGATTCGCCTACCTCGGTCTCATAAAGTGCTGGGTTTACAGGCATGAGCAACTGCGCCTGGCCAATATTATATTTTTAAATGTAAAACTACTAGGATTCGAATATCAAAACTGTGGTGGCAGAAAAAAGCATTTACATTCACTTGCATATCCCTAGAATTGGACTCATTAGATAACATTGGCTTACTAGCTAGGTAAGTAAAAGGTAAATACTTTGGAAGTGGCTACCTTCATTAGAACTTTTTAGCCCTTAGAAGAAAAACCAATCCAGAAAAACTGGAAACCTACAGAACCCCCTTGCTGGGCTCTGACTTACTGGCTAAGCAGGTTATTGTTGATAGTTGACCATTCAAAAGAACAACTTGTAACATGTTAGCCATGTGTTAAATAACAATGCACATCTTCACATAATTTATTGCCCCTTTACCTTGTTCTGAGACTTTATTCTTTTCTAAGCCTGTATTTATTATAACTCTTTTAATTTTTTTTTTTTTTTTTGAGACAGAGTCTTACTCTGTTGCACGGGCTGGAGTGCAGTGATCCAATCTCGGCTCATTGCAACCTCTGCCTCCCGGGTTCAAGCGATTCTTCTGCCTCAGCCTCCTGAGTAGCTGGGATTACAGGTGCACGCCACCACGCCCAGCTAATTTTTGTATTTTTAGTAGAGACGGGGTTTTACCATGTTGGTCAGGCTGGCCTCAAACTCCTGACCTTGTGATCTGCCCACTTGACCTCCCAAAGTACTGGGACTACAGGTGTGAGCCACCACGCCTGGCCTCACTGTTCTTTTTCTTGTTGTTTGAGGAGGTGAGGTGAATGGCTGGGGAACTGGGTGCAAGATTTCCTTTTCATTGTATATATATACCTTTTGAATTTTGTCCCATGTAAAGGAATAATTTAAAAACAGAATTACAAAAATCTTACTAATTAGTAGTCCAATGTTGGATAAGATTGGAGTAACTGCACTGCACATAGTAGGTATTCAATAAAGATGGAATGAATGAATAAATGAATAGATGGATGAATTAAGTGAAATGACTGAATAAGTGTCTTAAATCTATATTTTGATTACTAAAGCTTTCTGGAATTGTGAAATTTCATAACTGTATGAGACTTAATGTCTTTTTTTTTCTTTGAGCTGGAGTCTCACTCTGTCATCCAGGTTGGAGTACAGTGGTGCAATCTCGGCTCACTGTAGATGGGGTTTCACCATGTTGCCCAGGCTGGTCTCGAACTCCTGACCTTGTGATTCGCCCACCTCGGCCTCCTAAAGTGCTGGGATTACAGGCGTGAGCCACTGTGCCTGGCTTAAATGTCTTTTTAAGAACAGAAATAGGTCTGAATTGGGAGAAAAAAACTATTGTCACTTTGTTAGATTTCTAAGTCTAAGCCATTAGTCTTTATTACATCATAAAGGATGAAGAAATATATTTTTATATATGCCTACATTTGCTGAGGAGGCTAGTCCTGATCAACATTTTTCTGAAAGATGGTGAAAGGTAGAGCAGACTTCAAGTCAACATTTTTATTGCCTCTCCTACTTCAGTGAAGCTAACATCAAGGGCTTATACTAAGTGCAAAGTTACCTTTGATTTTGTTTACTGGTCTATGTCCTAAGATAGGCAATGCAGCTACCTATTGTATATTCAGATCAAGTCCTGGGGACTAGCATGGTTCTAAAATGTTGACGGTTTCCTGAAGACAAACTGATAAAGAGAAAACACTGGAATTCTAGTTATTTTTGTTGGGAAGATGAAGGCTGAGTTGTGGAATTTATTGCAGCATAGATTCTTAAAAGTTTTGCTAGATAAATAAAGACAACCAGATAAAAGTGGTTTTAGATTGAGCAACTCGATGTAAAATGCTTACAACGGTGCCTGGAACAGAGTATGCGCTTTAAATGTTAGCCGCTATTTATTATCATCATTATTATACTGACACTCACCATTTTATACCAACAAACAATTTAACAGCCATACATATACATCTATACAAATCAATCTGTATGATACTGAGAGAAGAAATAGCTCTTTTTGTAGGAAATTTATAGTGATACATTTTGAAGAATGAAAGACAGAAAGTTACATTGTTACAGAAAAAAATACTCCGTTTCTTTGAGGAAATGTTCTTTGCTAGTTCGGTTGGAGCTCTGCATCGAACGTTCAGAAAAGTTTATGGTCTATGGTTTTCCAAACAAGTTAAAAACAGAAATAACAATACCTAAGATAACAAACAGGCACCAATTATACAGTAATAATTTATTGCTTTTCAACAATTCTGGTGTGATAAAATTTAACTGAACCAAACTCCCCATGTATTTTGAATGTGAGAATCAAGCTTCCCAGGGAAGTCAGATACTTGAGACAGGACCTATAAAGTATCCTCCTTTTTAAATTTTTTTCCAGATGAAGGTAGAATGCCAAGAGAGGCTGAGAAAAACAAATAACCAGCTGCCTACAGACCTGCCTTCATAGGAATGGCCTTTGCCTTCATCTATGTGTGCCTCCATTTCTGAATGCCTTATTTCTGGATACCTTCCAGTCTATAAAAACAAAGGGAGGATACATAAAAAAAGAACTGTACTACACTTGTACTGGACAATCAAGAGGTGAAAAATGTTCTTTAGTGAGTTAAAATCGTTTTGCAATCTCTTTGAAAGAAGTAGGCAAAAATCTTGAAAAAGTCCAAATTCTTAGTAGAGATTGTCTTAGAAAGGTTAACTTTTCACGTTGGCAGGAAGTAATACCCAAACACTAACACAAAATTTAAACTTATCTCCAATATGTAGATAGAAAAATCTAACCACGGGGCATTAGGCCTTTCTTATTTACCTTAAAATATACTGTTTCCCTCCTTCCTCCTAGCATTCTCTCCTAGGAAAAGGTTCTATGGCTTTTGCATTCTTTTTTTTTTTTTTTTTAAGAGACAAGGTCTTGCTACATTGCCCAGGCTGGTCTTAAACTCCTGTCCTCAAGGGATCCTCCCACCTGAACTTTTTTCAGACAGAGTTTCGCTCTGTCGTCCAGGCTGGAGTAGTGTCACGATCTTGGCTCACTGCAACCTCTACCTCCTGGGCTCAAGCGATTCTCCTTCCTCAGCCACCGAAGTAGCTGGGATTAAAGGCGCCTGCCACCACACCCAGCTAATTTTTGTATTTTTAGTACAGACAGGGTTTCACTATGTTGGCCAGGCTGGTCTTAAACTCCTAACCTCAAGTCATCTGCCTGCCTTGGCCTCCCAAGGTGCTGGGATTACAGGTGTGAGCTACTGCCCCCAGCCCTGAATTCTCTTTTTGTTTGTTTTCTTGAGATAAGGTCTTGCTCTGTTGCCCAGTCTGGAGCGCAGTGGTGTGATCAAAGCTCAGTGTAACCTCAAACACATGAGCCCAAATGACTCTCCTGCCTCAGCCTCCCAAGTAGCTAGGACAACAGAAGTGTGCCACCATGCCCTGCTAATTTTTAATTTTTTTGTAGAGACAGGGTCTTGCCACTTTGCCCAGGTTGGTCTCAAACTCCTTGGCTCAAGAGATTTCCTGCCTTGTGAATCACTGAGCAGACCCCAGCATGCATTCTTCTAATTTTTTTTAATTTATTTTTTCTTATTTTTTAAGTTTAAAGGAATGTTAAATTCCAGAGATTCTTTTTTTTTTTTTTTTTTTTTTTTTTGGAGATGGAGTCTTACTCTGTTGCCCAGGCTGGAATGCAGTGGCGAGATCTCGGCTCACTGCAATCTCTGCCTCCCGGGTTCAAGACATTCTCCTGCCTCAGCCTCCTGAGTAGCTGGGATTACAGGTACCCACCACCTGGCCCAGCTAATTTTTGTATTTTAGTAGATATGGGGTTTCATCACGTTGGCCAGGCTGGTCTTGAACTCCTGCCTCAGCCAGCATGCATTCTTAATAGTAGACAATACATTAGGAGTTTGGAATGCCTGAATGTTTATCTATTAAAAAAATTTTTTTTTGAGACAGGGTCTTGCTCTATCACCCAGGCTGGAGTGCAGTGGCATGATCATAGCTCATTGCAGCCTCAACCTCCTGAGATCAAGCAATCTTCCCATCTGGGCCTCCCAAAGCTGATACTACATGTGTGCCACCACATGCAGCTAATTGTTTTTTTTTTTCTTTTAAAGAAACGGGGTCTGGCTATGTTGGCCAGACTAGTCTCAAACTCCAAGGCTCAAGCAATCATCCTGCCTTGGCCTCCCAAAGCGCTGGGACTACAGGCATGAGCCACTGCTCCTGGTTGAAATGCTTTAATTTTAAAGTACAAAGATTGCATACATTTTTGCTTGAGGTTCTTAGTGCTTCAAGAGATCCACCAAAATCCTAGAGGAATCCTTTCCATGAATTGGTAAAGCTTGTGAATATGTAATGTTAAAAAAACATCAGAGATGTAGGTATTCCAGAGAAGGTAGAGCAAGATAAAGATTTTAACTTACAAGCCAATGATTTTTTTTTTTTTTTTCCTAAGAGACAGTCTCGCTCTGTCACCCAGGCTGGAGTGCAGTGGCACCATCTCAGCTCACTGCGATCTCTGCCTCCTGGGTTCAAGCGATTCTCCTGCCTTAGCCTCCTGAGTAGCTGGGACTATAGGCGTGCACCAGAACGCCCAGCTAATTTTTGTATTTTTAGTAAGGATGGGGTTTTACTATGTTGGCCAGGCTGGTTTTGAACTCCTGACCTCAGATGGATCCGCCTGCCTTGGCCTCCCAGAGTGCTGGGATTACAGGCATGAGCCACCGTGCCCAGCTGCCACTGATTTTTCCAAAATAATTATGCATCCCTGGGAAGGAAATAGGAAATGAAACGTTTTGTATATAATTTGGATTTGTAGGTGGCCTTTGTAAGTAATTTATTAGAAGGTAAACAATAATTATGTAGAAAGAACCTGGTTGGTAAATATAATAATTATGAAACCTTATTAATTTTTTTTTTTTTTGAGACGGGGTCTCACTATGTCGCTCAGGCTGGAGTGCAGAGGTGTGATCTCGGCTCACTGCAAGCTCTGGTTCCCAGGTTCACGCCATTCTCCTGCCTCAGCCTCCTGAGTAGCTGGGACTACAGGCGCCTGCCACCACGCCTGGCGAATTTTTTTTTGTATTTTTAGTAGAGACGAGGTTTCACCATGTTAGCCAGCATGGTCTCGATCTCTTGACCTCGTGATCCACCCGCCTTGGCCTCCCAAAGTGTTGGGATTACAGGCATGAGCCACTGCGCCCAGCAGAAACCTTACTAATTTACATTAATTAGCAGGAAAGCTGAATTAAAAAGAGGTCTGAATCATAGAATTACTAAAACTGCTCCCCCTTAATCTACCTGCCTCTCCTCCATCTCCATGTTATTCTGCACACAGTTTATCAAGTGGAAGGAAGAAGTGCTTTTTATTTTTTTAATTTGTTTATTTTTTTGAGATGGAGTCTCGCTCTGTCACCCAGGCTAGAGTGCAGTGGCACGATCTCGGCTCACTGCAACCTCTGCCTCCCTGGTTCAAACGATTCTCCTGCCTCAGCCCCCCAAGTAGCTGGGACTACAGGCACACTACCACATCGGGCTAATTTTTTTGTATTTTTAGTAGAGATTGCGTTTCACCATGTTGGCCATGCTTGTCTCGAACTCCTGACCTCAAGTGACCCGCCCACCTCAGCCTCTCAAAGAGCTGGGATTATAGGTGTGAGCCACCACGCCTGGCCAAGAAGTGCTTTATATGAAGAAGAAACAGCCTGTACAAAGGTTCAGCGCTGGGACTATGAAACAGTTCTGCATTTTCCTGCCTCATCATCCTCCTCATCCCCATCCTTTCCTATAACGTCAAGATTTTGAACAAAATAAATGAATCAAAATAATCTAGCACTTAAGAACAGAAGCTAGGAATTAAGTAGACCTAGATTTAAATATCAGTTTTATAGTATTTATAAACTACAAATTACCCAATTTTGACTAAGCATAATTTAGTGATATCCCTATAAGTTCTGGCAGATGGAATAAGATTGCCCTAGGTTCTTGGTGAAGGCCTTTGTTTAGAAGCATGGTTGCAGTGACTGAGAATTCCCCCACTAACTCCTGTAGTCCAGACTTCCCTCATTCCACTGGATTCTGTTAAATGGTCTTGGTAGCCTGAATTATGCACTCCCACGTTATGGTTAAAGCATACTTGGGCTGTGTTTCATTCATGATATGGTCTTCCCTGGGTTGATCAAATGAGTAACTGGTGAAACAAATGAAATACATATGATAGAGTTAGAAAGCTCCCAGGTTGACTATCTTTGAATTGGAAACAGGAGCAAAACCCCATTATCTAGCCCATCTGAGCCTAATGGGAACATGAGATGAAGGCCATACCTAATCCTCTGCTTGGATGGCTACACTGATATGTTACCCATTTGCAATGTATGGTTTTGTGCTTCTCACTGACCTCTTGTGTGGCATGTAACATCTCCAGATTCTAGCTCCTGCTGTGACTATAGTAAGTGTACATGTGACAAGGTAATGAGCTATGTGTGCAGGGGGAAATGGGGTAGTGGTGAAAACAATGGCTGCAAGCAGAATGGTGTATTCTGAGCTTGTTGAGTTACTATCCTTTTGGTTTTGGGGTAACTGAGTAGACTAGCTGTCCTAGTAGGTAGCATAGAACAAAGAGTGTTCCTTGGCCAGGCGCAGTGGCTCACACTTGTAATCCCAGCACACTGGGAGGCCGAGGCAGGCAGATAACCTGAGTTCAGGTGTTCGAGACCAGCCTGGCCAACATGGTGAAACCTCGTCTCTACTAAAAATATAAAAATTAGCCAGGCGTGTTGGCAGGCACCTATAATCCCAGTTACTGGGGAGGCTGAGGCAGGAGAATTACTTGAACCTGGGAGGCAGAGGTTGCAGTGAACCAAGATCCCAAGATTGCGCCATTGCACTCCAGCCTGGTGACAAGAGTGAGACTTCGTCTCAAAAAACAAAAAAAGGAACAGAGTATTCCTACAAGATTTCCAGTTTCTTTCTTGCTATTAAATTAGTGGTGGTAAACAGTAAGAGGTATATGTATATCTCTAAGACTGTAAAGAGGACTCTCCCAAAGCAGTATAAAACTAAAGGCCTCAGACTGAGGCCATGAATTTAAGACACTAGGGAAAAAAGAACTTGTCCATTTAGCGGTGCAGTGTGGGGCTGAAGGCTGTTTAGTGCAAAAGATGAAGTGAGCCATTTCAGCCACTGTGGCCACGGTGACAAAAATGGAACCATGGGTCTTGGATAGGGGGAAATTATGAAGTTGTACGGAAATCCACCAGGTCTCTCTTTTTTTTTTATTTTATTATTATTATACTTTAAGTTTTAGGGTACATGTGCACAATGTGCAGGTTGGTTACATATGTATACATGTGCCATGCTGGTGTGCTGCACCCATTAACTCGTCATTTAGCATTAGGTATATCTCCCAAAGCTATCCCTCCCCCCTCCCCCCCAACCAGGTCTCTTAAACTCAAATCCTCATCTGCCAAAAGTAACAACGAAAGGACTGTCTCCATACAGGGATGGGACTGCCAAAATGACCCTCATTCTGATATTCAACTCTTCCTTGGGGATCTTTCATAAATCCCCCTTGGCACCGGGAAGAAGCGTTCTGCTTTCTACTTTTTTTTTTTTTTTTTTTTTGCGACAGAGTCTTACTCTGTCGTTGGACTGCAGTGACGCGATCTCAACTCACTGCAACCTCTGCCTCTGGGGTTCAAGCGATTCTCCTGCCTCAGCCTCCCAAGTAGCTGCGATTACAGATGCCTGCCACCATGCCCGACTAATTTTTGTATTTTTTTTTTTTTTTTTAGCAGAGATGGGGTTTCACCATGTTGGCCAGGCTAGTCTCAAACTCTTGATCTCAAGTGATCCACCGAACTCAGCCTTCTGGGATTACAGGCGTGAGCCACCACGGCCAGCTCTACCTATCTCTTTGTTTTTGAGATGGGGAATTTCACTCTTGTTGCCCAGGATGGAGTGCAATGGCACGATCTGGGCTCACCACAACCTCCGCCTTCTGGGTTCAAGTGATTCTCCTGCCTCAGCCTCCCAAGTAGCTGGGATTACAGGCCTGTGCCACCACGCCTGGCTAATTTTGTATTTTTAGTAGAGACGCGGTTTCTCCATGTTGGTCAGGCTGGTCTCGAACTCCAGACCTCAGGTGATCCGCCCGCCTCGGCCTCCCAAAGTACTGGGATTACAGGCGTGAACCACCGCGCCTGGCTGGCTCTACCTATTTCTTAAATACTGCAGCAGAGACTATGCTGAAATAGACTGGTCTGCTGGCTGCCATGTTTTGTTTGCCCCACCCCACATCTGCCTGCCTAGTCCTTTTTTTCCTTTTTTTTTTTTTGAGACAGAGTGTCGCTCTGTCGCCCAGGCTGGAGTGTAGTGGCGCGATCTTGGCTCACTGCAAGCTCCGCCTCCCAGGTTCACGCCATTCTCCTGCCTCAAGCCTCCAGAGTAGCTGCGACTACAGGCGCCCGCCACCACGCCCAGCTAATTTTTTCTATTTTTTAGTAAAGACGGGGTTTCACCGTGTTAGCCAGGATGGCCTCAATCTCCTGACCTCGTGTTCTGCCCACCGCGGCCTCCCAAAGTGCTGGGATTACAGGCGTGAGCCACCGCGCCCAGGCGCCTAGTCCTTATTTTCTAACTCCCACACAATTTTTTGTTGTTGTTGGTTCCTCCTTTATATTAATTAAAAATAAAGTTAGGAGTTTTAAGAATTCTATTTTTCTTCTGAATTAATGAATAATGTGTTATGTAGAAATGTCAAGCAAGTTTGGGCTGTTATTAGTGCTGTATAGGGTACTGCTTCATGAAGTACATTGTAAATGCTTGAATTTGGATGCCTAGAAGGGTGTGGCACTTCTTTTCCTCCATACTGCTTACCATTTCTTGTTGACTTATACTGGGCTAATTAACTTTTTCTTGGTCCTTAAATGCTTCTCAGTTTGAATCCTTGATTTAGATTAAACTTGATTGATGGAAGTTGAGGAACAGACTTACAAAATATGAGTGTTTACTTTCATTTTTGGTTCTCCTGGAGTAGGCAGCTCTGTGACAGAAGCTATTTCCCCTGATCAGTGAGAAGGGCCTTCAACAATTCTTAACTCTTCCAAGTTCAGATGTAAAAAGGCATATCCAGAAGTGCCACCTTCCATCTGTTCTATGTTCCAAGATTTTCTGGTGAGGATTCTCTTTTTCTTTGAATGACTGATAATAAGAACACCTACTATATAGAGGGAAACCTTTATACCCTACCCACAGGGTATGGCCTTATTCCATGACTGCAAAAAAAAAAAAAAAAAAAACTTATCAGAGTGCAATAATAGGTATAACATCTGAACCCATGATTTGTGCAAAAGGTAAGACAGAGGGAGGGTAGGGAGGAAGGCTTCACTCTAATATGCAGCTCAGAAGTAGGTTTGGTAGCTACTGGACCTCACCTTGGCACAGGTGTCACAGGTATTGTGTGGTGCAGGGATTCATGGCAGATTTGGGGTTCTCAGAGGTCACCACAAATTGAATAGTATGCTTTATTTAAGCCTCATCTTGCTCACCAGTGCAGCAGTATGAAGGTCCAGGTAGAACACCCAGGTCTGGATCCCCAGGCAGATGGATACACAAAGCCAGTCACTGTGATGTTAGAGGCCTCCTTCGCTGCATGCACCCCTCAGCTGAATCACAGTAGGCTTGATGTGCAGCTGTCCAATAATTCCAACTATCTGCTGCTGCTTTGGGTGAGGGCTATAAAGTCCAGGTTCTCACACTGAATGATCTTATAGCATGGAATATGGGGACCAGGACACCCAGAACTTCCTAGAAATAGGTGACCTTAAAATTAAGCTGTTAGTTGGCTGGGCGTGGTGACTCACACCTGTAATTGCAGCACTTTGGGAGGCTGAGGTGGGTGGATCACCTGAGGTCAGAAGTTCAAGACTAGCCTGGCCAACATGGTGAAATCCCATCTCTACTAAACATACAAAAATCAGCCTGGTGTGGTGGCATGCGCCTGTAATCCCAGCTGCTTTGGAGGCTGACACAGGAGAATTGCTTGAACCCACCGAGGGGGCGGACGTTGCAGTGAGCCGAGATTGCACCACTTCACTCCAGCCTGGGTGAAAGAGTGAAACTCCATCTCAAAAAATAAATAAATAAATAAATAGATAAGCTGCTAACAAAACCATGTCCCATCATCTTTGTCCCCAACTTAGCTGACTAGAGACTGATAACTACCCCAAATTCAGATAAGCAAGGGGTAGTTCTCTGTGGTGAATCTCTGGTTTCAAAGGCACCTTTCATGGCACATGCTTTCATAATGGTTGTTTTGCTCTACTAACATAAAAGGAACCCAAAACAGGGTTTTTCTAAGTCAAGATGGCCTTAAATTCTATGGATTAGTCTCCTATGGTATTAATAGCTAAAAATGACAATTTCTACTTGTGTATTTTTGGTGAAAACTAAATGATGACTACTTTCTTTTTTTTTTTTTTTTCAGGCAGAGTCTTGCTCTGTTGCCAAGGCTGGAGTGTGATGGTGCGGTCTCAGCTCACTGTAAACCTTCCCTCCCAGGTTCAAGCCATTCTCCTGCCTCAGCCTCCCAAGTATCTGGGACTACAGGTGCCTGCCACCACATCTGGCTAATTTTTGTATTTTTAGTAGAGACAGGGTTTCACTATGTTGGCCAGGCTGGTCTCAAACTCCTGACCTCGTGATCCATCTGCCTTGGCCTCCCAAAGTGCTGGGATTACAGGCGTGAGACAACTTGCCCGGCCATGATGACTACTTTCTGATGACTCGAGACAATACTGATTATGTGACCTTGGGGAAGCTACTTAACCTCTCTGTATCTGTATATGTCTGTAAAATGGGGATTGTAACAGTTCCTAGTTTATAGCATTTTTGTGAGGAATTAATGAGTGTTACTACATCTAAAGTGCTTAGAGCAATGCTTGGCATATGGTAAGTATCCCAGAAATCTTGGCTATCATCAATTTATTATTGTTATTATTGAACTCCCCATCCCATTTGCCTAAAATACTTTACTAGAGATGGAAGGAAGAAAGGAGGGAAGGGAGGGAGGAAAAGAGGGAGGTGGGGAAGCTACTCAGGGTTAGGACTTTTAGTAGCTAGGGGTCAAGGAAGAAAACAGGTCTGGCAAATACATAGGACCATCTCTAGAAAGAATGCTTCCTAGAAAAGATCCTAAATAGCGATGATGTACATTACAAAGAGCACAGGTCAAAACTATCCCCCTGGGCTAGCAAAAACAAGGAACAGGAGTCAAGCCATATCAGACCAGAGTGGGAATTAGGATGACATAGATTGAGCCTCAGGTAATCTGGTTAAAAACAAATTTAATTTGGCCGGGTGCAGTGGCTCACGCCTGTAATCCCAGCACTTTGGGAGGCCAAGGTGGAAGGATCACGAGGTCAGGAGATCGAGACCATCCTAGCTAACATGGTGAAACTCCATCTCTACGTGGTGGTGGGTGCCTGTAGTCCCAGCTACTCAGGAGGCTGAGGCAGGAGAGTGGCGTGAACCTGGGAGGCCGAGCTTGCAGTGCGCCAAAATCGCGCCACTGCACTCCAGCCTGGGCGACAGAGCAAGACTCCATCTCAAAAAAAAAAAAAAAAAGGAAAACAAATTGAATTTGAAGATAAATGGGTCAAAAAGGAATATTCTCAGCTGCTTGTTTTCCATATGGATTGTTTTGCCACCTTTAAAGTTTTAAAGCAGTACTGTCAGATTATCATAATATTTTAGGTATGTTTCAAACTTTTGTGCTTTTTAATCTAAATTAATTCTTAGATAATTATTAAGAAGCAACGTAAATGTTTCATATTATCAAGCCATTGCAAATATATATATATATATATTTTTTGAGACAAAGGCTCGCTGTCGCCCAGGCTGGAATGCAGTGGCGCCATCTCAGCTCACTACAACCTCTGCCTCCCGGGTTCAAGCAATTCTCTGCCTCAGCCTCCCGAGTAGCTGGGATTACAGGCACCCGCCACCAATTTTTGTATTTTTAGTAGAGACGGGGTTTCACCACTTTGGCCAGGCTGGTCTGAAACTCCCGACCTCGTGATCCACCTGCCTCAGCCTTCCAAAGTGCTGGGATTACAGGCGTGAGCTGCCACGCCCAGCCTGCAAATATTTAAAAAGTAGTAAACAGCGGCCAGGCGTGGTGGCTCACGCCTGTAATCCCAGCAATTTGGGAGGCCGAGGCGGGTGGATCTGAGGTCAGGGGTTCAAGACTAGCCTGGCCAACATGGTGAAACCCTGTCTCTACTAAAAATACAAAAATCAGTCGGGCATGGTGGCACGCCCCTGTAAGCCTAGCTACTTGGGAGGCTGAGGCAGGAGAATCGCTTGAACCCGGGAGGCCGAGGTTGCAGTGAGCTGAGATCTCGCCACTGCACTCCAGCCTGGCAGACAGAGTGAGATTCCGTGTTAGTGGAAAGAAACAGTATGTACAATATGATTCCTTAAGAAACATATATATATGTGTGTGTGTGTGTGTGTCTGTGTGTGCACAAAAAAATTCTCAAAGGCCCAAAGAAGCAATAAAGCAAATCCCTGGCCACCAGAATAACTAAACATACAAAAAACCAGCAGTTGGAAACAATAATTTTTGACTTATTTGTCATGTTGAAGACATTTTTATTGCAAACATTTTGTTTTCTAGCAAACTATTTTGACTGCGCCATGCCATGTCAGTAGAGTGCCAGAGAAGTAACTGATTAGGATACTAAACTGGTGCAAGCTGGTAAGATAAGTGATAGGTCAAAACAGAGCAAAGAGAGCTGAAGAGAAACGGGGGAGGTCAGGGAGGAGCTTAGAGTGCATCTCACGAATACCGAGTTAGTCTTTCTTTAAAGAATGGCAAAATTCATCCTAGATCCAGACATAGGCCTTTGAAAGCAGTAGGACTACACCTGACATATAACCTGAAATTAGATGATGATATTCTGAATGAGAGGGCTCTCAACTTTAAAGAAAGAATGTCTTTAGGATTGGCATTATCTTCTTTACTCCAGGTATTTGTTTAGCAAACCTTTTTTCAAACATGGTTCAAAAGCAAATCACATTTTCCATATTCCCTATTAAATTATTATATATTATGAGGGGGGGGCAGTGTTCTTAATGACAAAATATTGTTTAAAAAGAATCCTTTCCTAAAAGAAATCAGGAAGATAATTCCATTTACAATAACTACACAAAAATAAGATACTTAAGAATAAACTTTTTTAAAAAAATTTTATTATTGTTACACTTTAAGTTTTAGGGTACATGTGCACAATGTGCAGGTTTGTTACATATGTATACATGTGCCATGTTGGTGTGCTGCAAAAAAAAAAAAAAAAAAAAAAGAATAAACTTAACCAAGGAGGTTAAAGATCTCTAAACTGAAAAACTATAAAACCTTGATGAAAGAAATTGAAGAAGACACAAATGAATGGAAAGACGTTTCATGTTCATGGGAGAATTAGTATTGTTAAAACACTCATACTACCCAAAGTGATCTACAAACTAAATATAATCTCTATCAAATACCTATAATATATTTCACAGAAATAAAAAAGACAGCCAGGCGCGGTGGCTCACTCTGTAATTCCAGCACTTTGGGAGGCAGAGGAGGGCGGATCACCTGAGATCGGGAGTTCGAGACCAGCCTGACCAACATGGAGAAACCCTGTCTCTACTAAAAATACAAAATTAGCCAGGCATGATGGCGCATGCCTGTAATCCCAGCTACTAGGGAGGGTGAGGCAGGAGAATCACTTGAACCTGGGAGGCAGAGGCTGCGGTGAGCCGAGATTGTGCCATTGCACTCCAGCCAGGGCAACAAGAGCAAAACTCCGTCTCAAAAAAAAAAAAAAAAAAAAAAAGACAATCATTAAATTCACATGGAGCCACAAAAGACTCAAATAGGCAAATCAATCCTGAGCAAAAATAACAAAGCTGAGGCATCACAGTACTTGATTGCAAAATGTACTACAAGGCTATAGTAACCAAAACAGCATGGTATTGGCATAAACACAAACACAGAGACCAATGAAAGAGAATAAAGAACCCAGAAATAAATTCATGCATCTATGGCCAACTGTTTTTCAACAAAGGTGCCAAGAACATGCACTGGGAAAAAGACAGTTTCTTCAATAAATGGTGCTGGGAAAATTGGAAAGTCACATGCAGAAGACTAAGACTAGACCCTGTCTCCACTATATACACAAATCAACTCAAAATGGATTAAAGACTTATATATAAAACTTGAAACTATGAAATTACTAAAAGAAAACATAAGGGAAATGCTTTGCAACACCGGGTTGGGCAAGGGTTTTTAAAAAGAGATCTCAAAGCACAGACAACAAAAGCAAAAAATAGACCAATGGGATTACATCAAACTGAAAAGCTTTTGTACTTAAAAAGGAAACAACAAAATGAAGAGAAAATCTACAGAATGGAAGAAAATATAAGCAAACTATACATCTCACAAGGAGTTAATATCTGAAGAATATATAATAACTTAATTCAACAATGAAAAACAAATTATCTTAATTTAAAAGTGGGCAAAAGACCTTAATAGGCATTTCTCAAAAGAAGACATACAAATGGCCAACAGGTACATGAAAAAATGCTCAACATCCCTAATCATCAGGCAAATGCAAATCAAAATCACAATGAGATATCATCTCACTCTAGTTAGAATGGCTATTAACAAACAGACAGGCTGCGTGGTGGCTCATGCCTGTAATCCCAGCACTTTGGGAGGCTGAGGCAGGTGGATCACTTGAGGTCAGGAATTCAAGGCCAGCCTGGCCAACAGTTACATGAAAAAATCCTCAACATCCCTAATCATCAGGCAAATGCAAATCAAAATCACAATGAGATATCATCTCACTCTAGTTAGAATGGCTATTAACAAACAGACAGGCTGCGTGGTGGCTCATGCCTGTAATCCCAGCACTTTGGGAGGCTGAGGCAGGTGGATAACTTGAGGTCAGGAATTCAAGGCCAGCCTGGCCAACATAGTGAAACCCCGACTCTACTAAAAATACAAAAATTAGCCAGGTATGGTGGCACATGCCTATAGTCCCAGCTACTCGGAGGCTGAGGCAGGAGAATTGCTTGAACCCACGAAGCAGAGGTTGCAATGAGCCGAGATTGCACCACTGCACTCCAGCCTGAGTGACACAGTGAGACTCTGTCTCTGTCTTAAAAAACAAAACAAAACAAAAAAAACAACTGTTGGCAAGGATGTGGAGAAAAGACAACACTTGCACATTTTTGGTGGAATTACAAATTAGTACAGCAGCTATAGAAGACAGTCTTTAATCCATTTTGAGTTGATTTGTGTATATGGTGGAGACAGGGTCTAGTCTTATTCTTCTGCATGTGACTTTCCAATTTTCCCAGCAACGTTTATTTAAGAGACTATCTTTTCCCCAGTGTGTGTTCTTGGCACCTTTGTTGAAAATTTTTTCCTCAAAAAATTAAAAATAGAACTACTGTGTGAGCCAGGAGTCCCACTAGTGGCTATATATTCAAAGGAAATGAAATCAGTTACATTGAAGTGGTATCTGCCCTCCTATGTTTACTGCAGCACTATTTACAATAACCAAGATATGGAATCAACCCAAACATCTAACAGTGAATGAATGAATAAAGAAAATGTGAGGCCGGGCACGGTGGCTCATGCCTGTAATCCCAGCACTTTGGGAGACCGAGGTGGGTGGGTCACTTGAGGTCAGGAGTTCCAGACCAGCCTGAGTAATATGGTGAAACCCCGTCTCTACTAAAAATACAAAAATTAGCCAGGCGTGGTGGCAGGCGCCTGTAATCCCAGCTACTTGGGAGGCTGAGGCAGAAGAATTGCTTGAATTTGGGAGGCGGAGGTTGCAGTAAGCTGAGATTGCACCACCGCACTCCAGCCTGGGGAACACAGCGAGACTCAGTCTCAAAAAAAAAAAAAAAAGAAAAAGAAAAAGGAAAAAAAGAGAAAATGTGGTACATATGGATTACAGAATATTATACAGCTGTAAAAAAGCATGAAATCTTGCCATTTGTGAAAATACGGTTAAACCTGGAGGACATTATGTTAAGTGAAATAAGCCAGACACAGAAAGATAAATACTGTATGATCTGTGGAATCTAATTTTTTTTAAAGAAAGAGTTTATATCTTAGAAGCAGAGAGAACAGTGGTTATCTGAGACTAGAAAGGGGAGAGAGGAAAGGAGGATAGGGAGAGGTTGGTCAACAGGTACAAAGTGACAATTAGATTGGAAGAATAAGTTCTGGTGTTTTATTGCACAGTAGGGTTGCTGTTAACAATAAGGTATTGTATATTACAAAATAGCATGAGGTGAGAGATATGCTAAGTACCCTGATTTGATCAGTATACAACATTTGTATGTATGGAAACACCAAAACTGTAACCTAGAATATGTACAATTACAATGTGTCAATTAAAAGAAGAATCCTTTCCTGTATTGTTTATTGTTACTAAAATGGGCAAAATAGCACCTTCCTATCTACTACATCACAGAAATGGTGAAGTAACTGAAAGAATGTAAGTTAAGTAGGTGAATTCCAGAGAACACACTGTAATTTCATCTTTCTTTTTTCAGATAACGCAATAGAGCAACTTACTCAGCTTAAAGAGTACCTATATCATAATTTTTGAAGTTTGCATTTGCATTTCTTATTGCATCACTAACTTCCGAAGTTACAACTCTTACCTTGAAATCTTCCCAAGATTTGCTCACTTAACCAGCTTGCAAACAACAGTCCGGCATTTTCCTGAGGCAGATTACCATAGCAGCATCCAGTCTATCAACCTTTAAAACAGAAAGGTGAATCCTAAGAATTTTGTGATAAAGCTAAAAGCCAGTAGAGAGTACCAGGCCTTCTCTGGTTCTGATGTAATGATTCTGAAAGACCCCCATGACAAAATATTTTATCTTAAAGGTTGTACTTGTTCTTTATACTTAAAGAAACTGGAGTTTCTGATCATGCCAATCATTAGATGGGAGGCCTCAGACAAGTCTTTTAGCATCCCTGGGCCTTAATTTCCATTTCTGTAAAAAGTCAGGAGTGCCTTAGATGATCTCCAATTTCCTCTCCACTCTGATTTCTCATCCTATGCTCCCTAGTTCATTTCTTCAATGTCGTGTGCCTCAAATCAGGAAAAAAACCTGGCAGAAGAGCAAGGATTTTACCTGTATTATTTTATTATTTTCACCAGCTCACCCACCCACCGTGTTTCTATTTTTCCAGGTAAGAGCCTGGTAGTTGCTTTTAATTTTTCCCTTTTATCTACTTTAGACAAATTATGACATTAATTCATGAATACAGAACACTTTCCAAGTTTTACCAATTACTTCTGCAGATACTATCTCATTTGATTAACACAACAGTTCAGGCTAGTAGGTATTATTTTTAATTTATCTGGCGAGGAAACTAAAGCCCAGGGAAGTTCAGTGAATTAATTGCCCAGAATAACACAGATAGCAGTTATGGGACCAGATCTTTTTTTTTTTTTTTTTCTTTTTGCGCTCTGTCACCCAGGCTGGAGTGCAGTGCCACCATCTCGGCTTACTGCAACCTCTGCCTCCTGGGTTCAAGCGATTCTCCAACCTCAGCCTCCTGAGTAGCTGGGATTACAGGTGCATGCCACCACGCCAGGCTAATTTTTGTATTTTTAGTAGAGACGGGGTTTCACCATGTTGGTCAGGCTGGTCTCGAACTCCTGACCCCGTGATCCGCCCGCCACAGCCTCCCAAAGTGCTGGGATTACAGGCATGAGCCACTGCCCCTGGCCTATTTATTTATTTATTTATTTACTTATTTAGATGGAGTTTTGCTCTTGTTGACCAGGCTGGAGTGCAATGGCGTGATTTCAGCTCACCACAACCTCCACCTCCCAGGATTACAGGCATGCGCCACCACGCCCGGCTAATTTTGTATTTTCAGTAGAGACAGGGTTTCTCCATGTTGCTCAGGCTGGTCTCAAACTCCTGACCTCAGGTGTTCCACCTGCCTTAGCCTACCAAAGTTCTGGGATTACAGGCGTGAGCCACCGTGCCCGGCCTAGGCCTATTTTTTTTTTTTTTTTTTTTTTTGCATTTTTTAGTAGAGACAGGGTTTGGCCATGTTGGCCAGGCTGATCTTGAACTCCTGACCTCAGGTGATCCACCCACCTCAGCCTCCCAGAGTGCTGAGATTACAGGCGTGAACCACCGTGCCCGGCCGGGGCCAGGTCTTCTGATTCCAAAGTCTTCACAACACTAAAATCTATTAAAGCAGATCCAGGTTTTGTAGGGCCTGAGGTGTCTATAATTTTGATGACTGTCTATCTTCAAGGATAGGAGTACAAAACTGCAATACAACAGAAAGTATGATCCTGTTGAACATACTGTTAGGGCCCCTCTCAGAGCCTCCTTAGGGTCTATTCAAGGGAAGGGCATCTAGGGTTAATCTTTAGGGTTAGGTCTCATGTAATGTTTTCTATATGCTAGACACTGCAAAATAAATACTAATTTTTTTTTTTTTTTGAGACGGAGTCTCACTCTGTTGCCTAGGCTGGACAGGCTGGAGTGCAGTGGCACCATCTCGGCTCACTGCAACCTCCACCTCCCAGGTTCAAGTGATTCTTCTACCTCAGCCTCCCAAGTAGCTGGGACTACAGGCACATGCTACCACACCTGGCTACTTTTTGTATTTTTAGTAGAGACAGGGTTTCACCACATTAGCCAGGCTGGTCTTGAACTCCTGACCTCGTGCTCCATCCGCCTCGGCATCCCAAAGTGCTGGGATTACAGGCATGAGCCACTGCACCCGGACCTTTTTTTTTTTTTTTTTTTGAGATGGAATCTCACTCTATTGCCCAGGCTGGAGTGCAATGATGAGATCTTGGCTCACTGCAATCTCTGCCTCACGGGTTCAAACAATTCTCCTGTCTCAACTTCCTGAGTAGCTGGTACTATGCATTACGCATGGCTAATTTTTGTATTTTTAGTATCGGCAGGGTTTCACCATGTTGGCCAGGCTAGTCTCAAAATCCTGGCCTCAAGTGATCCACCCACCTCGGCCTCCCAAAGTGCTGGGATTACAGGGTTGAGCCACCACGCCGGCCTGAAATAAATACTAGTTTTATTATCATAATAACCCTGAGGTAGGTATTATCCTTGTTTTACAGAGTTGGGAGTGAGGCTTGGAAAGGTAAAATGACTTGCCTGAGGACACAGAGCTGGTAAGTGCAAGAATCAAATTTGGAACTGAACAGATCTGGCTCTCAGGTCTATAGTGTGAATCTACCACCCTATGGGGCTCTATAAGCCTTCTTTTGAGGTTTCCTGGGATTCATCTTATTTAACCACTTCTCACTACATTCCATAGAACAGGCCCTTATATATTTACTTCTGAACCAGACTGAGGATCCTGTCTCTCTAACTTAATTCTCCTTACCATCTACCTGAATGCTGCTGCCACCCTAGCACTGCTCTTATAAGTCCTAGCTGCCCCAATGACCCGAAATGCCTTCCCTTTCTCCGTGTTTATCAAATGTAAAAAGCAATTACTGTATTACTCACTAGTAGTACTTGGCCGTGGATGCCACACTGTCTTCTAATATACTGAACTGTTATTGGAAAGCACATGGGACCTCTCAGGATCTGATCCTCCAATCTCTACTCTTCTTCAATCTCAGGTTCTTCATTTGCAAAACAGAAACCATAAGGCCTACCTCCCAGGGTTGCTGTGAGAATTGAGGGGGAGGGTAAGTGAGGGGGAGGGTAAGTGAGGGGGTGAGTCCTGGAAGGGAGGAAGACACGAGGGGAAGGGCAGGGTCCTGGCAAGCAGCAAGTGCTCAACAGATGTTGGTTAATTTGTGCCTAAGTCTCCCCCAAAAACTTGCAAGCTCTTTGAAGGCAGGGGCCTTGCCTCATATTTTTCGGTATTTCTCAAAAGTCCTGGACATCAAAGACACTCCATGGTTATTTGATCACTTCAACACACACGTTGGTTATGCGGTCACAGCGGCTATTATGTTAAAAACAGGCTCTGGAGTGTGACTTCAAATGCTGGCCGCTGACGAGCTGGGCTGTCTGGAAAGTTACTTCACCTCTCTGAGCCTCGGGTCCCTTATTTACAAAATGTTCAGGGCAGTGCCCACTTCACAGGGCTGAGGATTAGAGAGGATAATCCGGGTGAGGAGCATCAGCCCCAGCGCCGCCTGCCACAATTCTATCCGGCCCCACATATGCATCGTCCATAAGCGTCCGGCCTCTGCATTCTCGCTTTTCCACGTGGCCGAGGTGCACACCCCAACCCACTGGGCCAGTCTCCCCACCCTCTTACCTGCTCTTCTTTCCCGACTCGTCTTTAATACCCACCAGGCGCCAACCGCCGCGGGCCTGGCTCTATGGTGGCAAGTTGCATGGGTTCTCCCATCAGGACCTCCCGATGAGCCTACGAGGTCGGTTCTACTACTGTCGCCACTTCAGAGGGAGGAAACAGGCCCGGAGGGTTGGGGAACTTCCCGAGGTCACTGAACTGGTGTCAGGCCCGGATTGGAATCCAAACACATCCCAGCCCATGCCCGGCTCTACAGCGCCGGCCCCCAGCGTCTTCCCGGGTGCCAGCGGCACCCGCATCCATTCAAATGCTGCCCATTCCCCGCTCCTCAGTCGCTTCCCGCTACTCCGCACGCGCATCTCCCCCACCCGTCAGGGTCAGGCCTCTCGGTGACTTTTCCTTTTTCTCTGGCAGAAACTGAGGGGTGAGACCGATGGTTGTGTCCCGAACGAGGGCAGATTGCCTAGAGCTCGTCAGACAGGGACCCAAGGGCGAGTCTGGCAGGGCGTGGTAGCTCCGCGCCGCTCAGCAGGGGCGCAGCGCGCGGGTCGGACTGGGACGCCGGTCACGTGGCGGGGAGGGGGCGCCGGCGCGCGCGGGCGAGCTAGAGGGCGCGCGCGGCTGAAAGCGTGTGGAGGCGCGGGCTGCAGTTCGGATGTCTGTGTGGCGGGGAGGGGGCGGCGGCCGGGAGAGACGACTCCGCCCCCTGCGCGCATGCTCCGGCCCCGGCGGGTTATAAGGCAGCCTCGCTGGCCCGGCCAGACAAAGTGGTGAGCTGCGACGTGACTGGCTAGCTGCGTGGGTACTGGAACAAGCAAACGAGGCAGCGAGCGAAGGACGGGAGCCGGACCCTGGGCCCCGTGGAACTCCAGCCTGCGCCACCACGTCACGCACACGCTCGGCGCTGCGATCCGCGCATATAACGGTTAGTTGGGTAACAGCCGGCGGCACGCGGCGCGGACCCCACGGTGCCCTCGCTGCCCTGGTGGGGTCGGAGGGGACCTCCGGGGTTGGGAGACTTTGTCTCCGGCGGAGGGAGGCGGCCCAGCAGAGGGCATCGTGGTCACAGGCAGCCGCGTGGCCTCGGACTGCAGTGCTGGTGAAGGAGACCTTGAGGCGCTGGGGTCAGCGCCTCTCTTAGCCGAGCCGCGGGCCCCGTGCTAAGATGCCGGTCCCAGGCCTGGCCGAGGAGTTGGGTCGTGGTGCCCGGTGACGGTGGGGAAGTCCCTTCCCCCCTAAGTCTTCAATAGGCTCCTCGAGAGATGCTTTGATCTGGAAAAGGGATAACATGAGGCTGCTGCATGTGGTACCTCCAGACTCTCCTGGCCGCTTCTGCCCCAAGGGAAGGGACTCGGGGCAGAAGTTATTTATGATTCGTGACATTGTCCGCCCCAACCTTCTTGGCCCGCCGATCCTTGCCCCACCTGGTGACTTGCGAGAGTGGTGCGGAGAGCCGCATTCCCCACAGCCAAGGCGTGACTGCAGGGTTCGAGTAGACTTTGCGGAGGGGACGGGGCAGCCCGCAGACTCCTGGGAGTGGTGCTGACGGGGGCTCTTTGTCATTCAACCTGTGGCTGCCAGCGTCCGCCGCAGCGCCCTTCTACTCATGGACTTAAGGCGGCCCTGTTGAGAGAAATCTGGAGGATAGCGTTACACTTGGTCCGATGCAAGTTTTTTGTTCCAAGTACGTCTTTTTTTTTTTCCAGCATGCGTTTTAACATTTTATTACTTTGTCATGACATATTTGATGGAACAAGCAGTTGCCAAAACTAGTTTGTAATTAATCTAAACCAGGAGACAAACTTGTTACTACTTTAGTCTTTCTTTGGGTTTCCAGTGGCTGATTAGAAACTGGGCTGCTACTGATAACAGTAAAATGTTTACACGCTACTTTATTTACTGTAACTTACTAAGCTACTTTATTTACTGTAACTTACTATAACTTGTTTTGAATTTTTTTTTCAAAAATTACTCTGGTTTCAACAATTTTTTTATCCCAACCACCAGCCCAGTGAGGTGATGCAAAGACTATGTATCTTCAGTTTTTTAGTTAGGTGTTAAATAGTACCCATAAATTCAAGTCTTACACCCTGGGGCACGACTTTGCCTTCAGATTGCCATAGAAATGACCAACAATTCAAGATATTTAGCACTTAAAACACGTGGTAAGATTTATTATTTACACAGAAGTTGAATATATTTCAGTAATTCATTTTGGTCTTAGGTAGATGCTGTTGTTTCATCAGATTGCAGTTACCATTGTTAAATATGCAAGTTAATGATCTGAGGAGCATTTTGTAAGATTTTTATAGCTGAATAGATTTGAAGGTTTAGTTGTAAGCTTAACGGGATAGACTGTAATGTCCTTAAACAGATTAAAAAGGAAAAAAGTCATATCACTATAGGATGAAAGCAAATGATTAGTATTTCACTAGTTTACATGTTTTAGCCTTTAAATATTAGGGCATATATTAGCCCTGGAAAGGATCCTAATGACCAGCTGATCAGGATCCCTTGTTTTACACATAAGGAAACTGGGGCTGGAGGGATTAAGTGATCTAACATCTTAGGTCTGAAAACTTGTTATGGTTTGGTGGGAACTATGTGTGTCTTTGGACTCATTTTTGTTAGATTGGCACTCCTGATTTTTCTTTAGATTGTAAATTTGGATACAAATTATCTCAGCCTGAAAATAGATTTCTCAGCTCCTTATGTTCTGCATTCCCATCGTGTTTTCAATTCACTTTATAATGCTCACTCCTATGCAAGATTAAGATCTCTGCGTAAATGCCTACATAGCTGTCTTGTTTTTGTTGCAGTTGAGGACTAGGAAGATGGAACTTGGGTATGAGGAAAACAGTCCAGATTGTTGTGAATTTTATATGTTCGGCAATTTGTTATTGGCTACCAGGCACCATGAGAGACTTAGGATTCAGCAGTGAACAAATTTTACCACTTGCCCTCCTAGAGTTATAGTCTAGCTGGAAAACAGATAAATATATAATTGCCACAGCAAATACTCTTTACAAACAAGTAGGTACTGTTATAATAGGGTGGGTACAGGTTCCTGTAGGAACAAATACTGTATTGTGTAGGTGTGAGAAGACACCCAACTTAGTATAGAAGCAATTTGGCTAGACCTCTCTGAGGAAATACTGTTTAACCTGAGACTTGAAGGATGAAAGAGCTAGCCAGGCAAGACAGTGATGATGGGTGGAAAGAACATTCCAGACATGAACACTGAAGCTACACTCAAGAGTACAGGGTGTAATGCAAGAGCTGAATTTTACCAAAGCTAAAGCATAAAAAAGTCAAAGAGAATGGGAAGAGATAGAAGTTGAAGAGATAGACAGTATGAGAAAATGGAGGGCCTTGTAAGCCATTTTAAGGAATCAAGGAGGGTAAAAAAATTAAAGGGATTTTTAAGGGATAAAGGAGGGTAAAAAAATTTTAAAGGAGCGCTCTTGTCTTGAAGCTGATTGAAAGCAGTTGAAGGATTTTCAAGCTGGTGGCTCACGCCTGTAATCCCAACACTTTGGGAGGCCAAGGCGGGTGGATCACTTGAGGTCAGGAGTTCAAGACCAGCCTGGCCAACATGGTGAAACCCTGTCTCTATTAAAAATACAAAAAATTAGCCAGGCATGGTGGCATGCTTCTGTAATCCCAGCTACTTGGGAGGCTGATACAGGAGAACAGCTTGAACCCAGGAGGTGGAGGCTGCAATGAAAACTGAGATCACACCACTGCACTTCAGCTCAGCTCAGGCGACAGAGCAAGACTCTGTTTCAAAAAAAAAAAAAAAAAAAGGATTTTCAGTGGGGCTGGGGATAACCTGATTGGATTTTGTGTTTTAGGAACATCACTTTGGATGCAATATGGAGAACAGGCTGAAAGGAGGCTGTTGGAGTGGTGTGAGACCACAGTGATGGACAAGACAGGATTTGGTAGAGAAACAGACAGGATTTGGTGGAGGATTTGGTGGAGACCAGATGTGGGAGACTGGGAAAGTCAGAGACGTTAAGGATATAACCCAGGTTTCTGGCTTGAACAAATACGAGTTTATTAGGTGGTATTTGTTTGTCTCCATTTAACCAATAGGGACACTAAAAAGTTGTGTGACTAGACCAGGGCTGCTCAGCTTGTAAGGCTTGGAGACAAAATTCAAACTGTTGTTTTCAGTTTTTGTTGGCAACCCCTGAGAATGGTGTTTTTCTTTTTTCCCTTTTGAACAGTTAAGTATGGAAAATTTCAAAACACAAAGAGTTGAGCGACACGATTTCTCTCTTCCCCTATCTACTTTCCCCAGACCCTACTGGATTACTGTGAAGCAAATTCTACAAATGATTTCATTTGTTTTATTTCAATATAGATATCTGAAAGATAACTCTCGAGAAAGTCATAACCACAATGCCATTACCCTACCTTTAAAAATTAACATCGCCAAATATCCAGTCAGTATTCAAATATTCCTCAGTTGTTTTTAAATAATTGGTTGGTTTGATTTGGGGTCCAAACAAGGTAACATATTACATTTGTTTGGGATGTCTCTTAAACTTTTTAATCTATAGGTTCCCTCATCTTAATTATTTTCCTCGTAATGTATTTTCCTTGTAAGGTTGGTGCAAATGTCATTGTGGTTTTTGCCATTACTTTCAATGGCAATTGAAAAACCGCAATTATGTTTGCACCAACCTAATATTTGTTGAAGGAACCAGGCCATTTTTCCTCCGGTTTCTCTCATCCTGGATGTTGATGAATATGTCCCTCAGGTATAGATTTAACATGTCCTAGTTTAATATGTCCCTCTATCCTTTGTATTTCTTGTAAATTGGTAGCTAGATTGAAGACTGAACAAATTTAGTTCAGGTTTGATTTCCGAGTGGGAGTGTTGGGGGAGAGGACAAGTATAATTCCTAGATATTGGTGTGTACTTCCTTCAGGAGGCATATATTTGGTTATCCCTCTTTGTACTACACTAATAGCCTGTTTTCATTATTTCACTAGTGGTTTGCAAGTGGAAATAATTATGCCTTTAATTCTACCATTTATTTTTAATTTAACTAGAATACCTCTATAAAGAGAGGTACAGTTTGAATAGGAAGGACAAGTTAAAGTTTATGTTTTAATACAATATGCTATGTTATTGAGACACTGTCGTTTTCTGGAAATGTATTTAAATGTATTGAGGTATATCCTCTTAAAAGGCCACTATTTTAAGTTGTAAAAGTGTTTTTAGCACTTGATGTTAACATTTCAAATGGCTTTTAGTATTTAGAATATTTAAAATTTTTGTCCTTAAATTTATGGCGTTTCTTTTGGTCTTTCATGCTCTTTCTTGGAGGACTTTGCTGTTCCCACAGCTTTTAGAGAATACCTAGTAGAATCACTACTAAATCCAAATCTTTAGCTATAAAAGGATTCCAGATTGTAAGTTCCTCAAGGACAGGGGTTGAACACTCTTATTGATGATCTGCTTTTCCAGTTGCTTCTTGGGCATTTTGAACTTAATATGTCACTTAAAGCTCATTATCTCTGCCTGTTCTCAACTTTCCTTCATCCTCCAAACCTAGTTTTTTTCTTCTGATTCTACCATTCTTGAAGGTAGCCAGGCTTAAAACCTCTGAATCTTCTTAATATTTCTCCTAGTAGGCCCCCCTGCCCTACCACATGCAGTTGGTGCCAATCTCTTGTCCCTTTTGTTATTTCTCGTCCAACCCCCCACTTTTCATTTGTAATACTGCTACCTAGTTTATATATTTTTCTCTTTGCAGGAAGGGAGTGTTATAGGAGATTTTTACAATGAATGGAAGGACTAGTTTAGGTGGCATGTTTGGTTCCTAGTGTCATCCTGAGAAGAGATTAAAATGCAATAACAATCTTTTTTTTAAAGATAGAATGTATAGAATTTATACATTCTAAATTTATAAATTATAATTTTATAAATCTATAAATTATAATTTATAAATTTATAAATTCACTCTGTCGCCCAGGCTGGAGTACAGTGAAACCATCATGGTTCACTGCAGCCTGTAACTCCTGGGCTCAAGCAGAGCCACCTCAGCCTCTTGAGTAGCTAGGACTACAGGCATGGGCCATAATGCTCAGCTAATTTATTTAAACATTTTTTTAGTGATAGGGTCTCACTATGTTACCCAGGCTGGCCTCAAACTCCTGGCCCCAAGCCATCCTCCTGCCTTGGCATCCCAAAGTGCTGGGATTACAGGTGTGAGCTACCTCACCTGTCTAGCAATAACAATCTTCTGGGATCACAGTATGCATAATGATAAGAAGGGTTCACATCCACCACACCAGTGAGGCAGCTGCATGGGCTGAGCCATTGAAGGGTGTCACTGACCATTTGTCCTGCAGAGTAAGATCCAACTCTGTTGGTTATCTACACTATCATGTTGCTAATCACAACTCATGATATTGTTGAATCTGACTTAATTACAATGACTTAGCCTTAGTATAGGAGAATTTCCTCAAAATCTACTGATATCGTAAGCTATATATTTGATCATTGATTGAAAAATATGTCTTCCTTCTGATTTTGCTCTTCCTACACAAACCTTTTGAAGATTATTGAATGAATGAAAGTCTATACACTGCTGTGGTGTGTTAGACTATTTTGGAGGTAACAGGGCCTTTGTAATTTGTCTTATTGAGTTTTGGAAACCAAAACTTATGTTTGTACTTTATTGACCTGCTCTTCTGTTCCTGTATGAGAAATTTTTATCCTGGGGTCTGCATATTGATCCCCTAAGGTCTATTGAATTCGAGGGGTCTGTGAACTTGTTTGGGGGAAAAATATTATATCTTTTCATTAACCTATAACTAAAACTTGGAATTTCATTCAAATATGAGTGTAGGCAACAAACCATAGTTGTATTAGCAGTACCTGTGACTTTGTCACCAGTAGAAATCATGTACTTCATACCATAATGCAGCTGTTATAGCTATCTTGAAATTGTTTAAGCTTATCACTACCTCAAAATTAGTGTGATTATTAGACCCACTGCTGGATCTTATTTTATTTTTTAAAAGCACATTGTTAATTGCAATTAAAGTATTTTGACAGTTCTATCTTTGCATTTTATTTTATGCATTTAAAAACATTATTCTGTCTGGGCACGTGGCTCACGTCTGTAATCCCAGCACTTGGGAGGCTGAGGTGGGTGGATCACTTGAGCCCAGGAGTTCAAGAGCAGACTGGGCAGCATGGCGAAACCCTGTCTCTATTTGTTTAAGAAAAAAAAATAAAATTATATTAAAAAAAGAAAACATTATTCTGACAAGGGTTCCATAAGTTTTACTAAATGGCCAAAGGAATCCCTGGCACCAGAGTCTAAGGACCCCTGCTCCTAACTTCTTTACTTCTGTTCCAAGGTTAGAATGAAGTTAGCCAGAACCTGTGAAGCAACACGGCACACAGATGCTGATGTCACAGGATTCTACAGAATCATGATGCCATTTCTTGGTTATTGACTTGGTTTTATTTACTAATCATCATAAATTCTGACCTCACAAATGAGAGGGAACAAAATGTTTGTGTATATGCTAACAGAGAATAAAATGATTGTCACAAATTAAGGCATAATAATTTTCCTTTGAGGCCGGGCACAGTGGCTCACGCCTGTAATCCCAGCACTTTGGGAGGCCGAGGTGAGTGGATCACCTGAGGTTGAGAGTTCGAGACCAGCTTGACCAACATGGAGAAACCCTGTCTTTACTAAAAATACAAAATTAGCCGGGCATGGTGACGCATGCCTGTAATCCCAGCTACTTGGGAGGCTGAGGCAGGAGAATCGCTTGAACCTGAGAGGTGGAGGTAATCCCAGCACTTTGGGAGTGCGAGGCAGGCGGATCACAAGGTCAGGAGATCGAGACCATCCTGGCCAACACGGTGAAACCCTGTCTCTACTACTAAAAATGCAAATATTTTACTACTAAAAATACAAAAAATTAACCGGGCATGGTGGTGGGCGCCTGTAGTCCCAGCTACTCGGGAGGCTGAGGCGGGAGAAAGGCGTGAACCCGGGAGGCGGAGCTTGCAGTGAACGGAGATCACGCCACTGCACTCCAGCCTGGGCAACAGAGCGAGACTCTGTCTCAAAAAAATAATAAAATAAAATAAAACACTCATTTGAAAATTGTATATTGGCCGGTGCAGGGGCCATGCCCATAATCCCAGCACTTTGGGAGGCCCAGGCAGGCAGAACACCTGAGGTCAGGAGTTCGAGACCAGCCTGGCCAACATGATGAAACCCTGCCTCTACAAAAATATAAAAATCAGCTGGGCATGATGGCGGTTGCCTGTAATCCCAGCTACTTTGGAGGCTGAGGCAAGAGAACTGCTTGAACCCGGGAGACGGAGGTTGCATTGAGCCCAGATCGCACCATTGCACTCCAGCCTGGGCAACTGAGCAAGACTGTCTCAAAAAAAAAAAAATTGTATATTTTAGGCTAGACTCCATCTAAAAAAAAATATATTGTATATTTCTAATAAAATAACTGACAATTATCTTAATGGCAGCATAGTCTAAGATTTATATCGTTAGCAATTAAAAAGGCTATTTAATGGTGCTGTTTTGAGGTAAGAATGCTGACTTTGATACATTTTTAATGCCTGCAAATATCTTCCCAAAAAGCTTTGCAAGTAAACATTTGAGAATAGTATACCCTGGTTTCTCTTCAGATCACATGAACTTTTCTCTTTTTTTTTTCTCCCCCGCCGCCCCCGGCTGGAGTTTCGCTCTCATTGCCCAAACTGGAATACAGTGGCGTGATGTTGGCTCACTTGCAACCTCCGCCTCCTGGGTTCAAGCGATTCTCTTGCCTTAGCCTCCCAAGTAGCTGGGATTATAGGCGCATACCACCACGCCTGGCTAATTTTTTGTATTTTTAGTAGAGATGGGGTTTCACCATGTTGGCCAAGCTGTTCTCGAACTCCTGACCTCAGGTGATCCGCCCACCTTGGCCTCCCAAAGTGCTGGGATTACAAGCGTGAGCCACCACACCCAGCAAATTTTTCTCCTTTTACTAAAGATTTCCATGGAGAGAATGGTGAATCATGTTTCAGTGCCAAAGAGTACTCAATTTTAATACTCTTTTGTGAGATTTGTCTGTTACTGGTGAAGCAAACAAGAAAACAAAACAACTTAGATCTTTATTGGAGATAATGGGGGAAGTCAAAGATAGCATCATAATGAAGTTCAGACTTACTCAAGGAATTTTTAAACAGTTACTGTTATATACAAGCAGTTATTAGAAAGTTATTAGAAGAGATTAGAGATGTAAATACATATTTAAAATATGGTTTAAAAACGTTTAAAATGAGACTAAAACTTTAAAATGAAATGTTATATTACTTTGTTGTCTCTAGTCCTCAAAGATTTTGTTAATGTAAAACTAAGTAAAATGTTAATTATTTCTGTGAGTGAATAGTTCAATTTAGCTCTTTGCAAGAAAAGGAAAAGCTTTCTCTGTTGTTTATCTTTTTCTTAATGAATTATAATCCACTTATTCTCCCTATTTGGCATCTGATAGTGGAAGTGAAGTAGATTGTAATAGAAATACCATCTATTATTAATATATTCGAATACTCATTTACATTCAAAGTAACATAAATGATATAATCCTGACAACTCACTTATTTGTAACTTTAATCCAGCCAGTACATTTCTTCAAATTCTGGAACAGGGTAGGTTATGTGTTAATAAATTTAAATGGCCCACTTAGATATCGATTTGTTGAATATATTTTGAGTTGCTGTAGAAAATAGAACACATACCATTATTTATTCCAGAATATAATTTAGAATTCTGCCAAGCAAAACATACTATTGATGGACATAGCCCCCAGCTTTCTTTTCTCCATGACATCTCATGTCATTTTATAAAATGTGAAATGGGTCTATATTTGGAAACTCCTGGCCAACCAAGAAATAAATTAATATGTGAAAGGGACATAGGACTCTCAACTTAGGTAGTAGCCAGTTTTTCAGTCTGTGAGAAGAAGGCAAAAATGAAGCATTAAAAAAGGCAAAATTTGCTGGTGTAATAATAGCTCAGAAAACAAGATAGATAAGTTCTTTGTGCCAAGAATAGCTCAGAAAACAAGATTGATAAGTTCTTTCTCCCAGCGCTTTGGGAGGCTGAGTTGGGTGGATCATCTGAGGTCAGGAGTTCAAAATTAGCCTGACCAACATGGCGAAACCCCTTTCTACTAAAAATACAAAAAATAGCTGGGCGTGGTGGTGCATGCCTGTAATCCCAGCTACTTGGGAGGCTGAGGCAGGAGAATTGCTTGAGCCCGAGGGGCGGAGGTTGCAGTGAGCCGAGATAGTGCCACTGCACTACAGCCTGGGCGACAGAGCGAGACTCCCTCTCAAGAAAAACAAACAAACAAAACAGAACAAAACAAAAACTTTTCTGCTTCTTTCACTGTAGAGAGCAGTAGATCTAGAAAGCATTACATCACTGAGAGGTTTTTTTTTCTGGTTTCATATTTTTCTCTACTTCTCAAAAACTGGGAAAATTAGATTACTTGAAGTTCATCTAATGCTAATATTTGGATGAGATATAGGGATTTTTTTTTTTAACTCAAGTGGATCCGCCTGCCTTGGCCTCCCAAAGTGCTGGGATTACAGGTGTGAGCCACTGTGCCCAACCTACTCTTAGTTTTTTAATATTGCTGTGGCCATGGTTGTTAGTTGAAGATACTTTTGCCACAAAATGCAGTGAAAGAGTGAAAAAATAACCCTTTGTTACACTGTGGTAGGAAGAAGAAATTGGTAGAATCTTAACAGCAAGTTGGCAATATGAATAAAAAATAGAATTTGCAGAAATTCTTTGTCTAAAATTATATCCTAAATTTCTAGTTTTCCACAGTAGTGTGGAAAATACTATAAAAGGAAAAAAGAATGTAGCAACCTAAATGTGCAACAGTAGGTTTTTTTGTTTTGTTTTTGAGACAGAGTTGTGCTCTTGTTGCCCAGGCTGGAGTCCAATGGCATGATCTTGGCTCACCTCAATCTCCGCCTCTGGGTTCACGTGATTCTCCTGCCTCAGCTTCCCTAGTAGCTGAGATTACAGGCGTGCGCCACCATGCCTGGCTAATTTTGTATTTTTAGTAGAGATGGGGTTTCTCCATGTTGGTCAGGCTGGTCCTGAACTCCCAACCTCAGGTGATCTGTCTGCCTCGGCCTCTCAAAGTGCTGGGATTACAGGTGTGAGCCACCGCACCTGGACAACAGTAGGTAATTTTTTTTTTTCTTTTTTTTTTTTGAGGCCGAGTCTTGCTCCATCGCCCAGGCTGGAGTGCAGTGGCACGATCTCGGCTCACTGCAACCTCCGACTCCCGGGTTCAAGTGATTCTCCTGCCTCAGCCTCCCAAGTAGCTGGGATTACAGGCACCCGCCACCATGCCCAGCTAATTTTCATATTTTTAGTAGAGACGGGGTTTCACCACGTTGGCCAGGCTGGTCTCAAGCTCCTGACCTCAGGTGATCCACCCGCCTCGGCCTCACAAAGTGCTGGGATTACAGGCGTGAGCCACCATGCCCGGCCAACAGTAGGTAATGTTTTAAAGTATAATACATCCATAGACCAGAATGCTGTTCTTCAAAAACAGCATTGTGGAACTAGACACATCAAAAAATGTTTCCGGCCAGGCACAGTGGCTTATGCCTATAAGCCCAGCACTTTGTGATGCTGAGGCGGGTGGCCTGAGGTCAGGAGTTTGAGACCGCCATGGCAAACAGGGCGAAACCCTACCCTTACTAAAAATACAAAAATTAGGCAGGCACGGTGGCAGGCACCTGTAATCCGAGCTATTTAGGAGGCTAAGGCAGGAGATTCGCTTGAACTTGGGAGGTGGAGGTTTCAATGAGCCGAGATCACGCCACTGCACTCCAGCCTGGGTGACAGAGAGAGACTCCGTCTCAAACAAAAAAAAAAAAAAAAAAGAGGCTGGGTGCAGTGGCTCAGGCCTGTAATCCCAGCACTTTGGGAGGCCGAGACGGGCAGATCATTTGAGGTCAGGAGTTTGAGACCAGCCTAGCCAGCACGGTGAAACCCCATGTCTACTAAAAATATAAAAAGTAGCCAGATGTGGTGGCGCCCACCTGTAATCCCAGCTACTCGTGGGGCTTAGGTATGAGAATGGCTTGAACCTGGGATGCAGGGGTTGCAGTGAGCCAAGACTGCACCACTGCACTCCAACCTCAGCGACAGAGCGAGACTCCGTCAAAAAAAAGGAAGTTTCTGATATTAATGGAAAATGTCTATTAAGCAGCATATACATACATATTCCATATTTATGTTTATTCATATGCATGACTATCATAAAAGGAAGTCAGGATTTACATCAAAACATAAATAACTTTAAATGAGGATGGTAGAATGACAGGTAAATTTTATTTTCTATTCACACATATCTTTTAATTTTTCTATAACACACATGTATAACTTGTCATGTTTTAAAACTACTACTTTGTGGGGCTTTGTTTTTCGTTTTTTGAGACGGGTTCACTCTGTTGCCCAGGCTGGGGTCCAGTGGCGTGATCTTGGCTCATGCAATTTCCACCTCCTGGGCTCAAGTGATCCTCAGCCTCCCATGTAGCTGGGACCACAAGTGTGTGCCACCACTGCTGTCTAATTTTTTGTATTTTTTGTAGAGACAGGGTTTCGCCATATGGCCAAGGCTGGTCTTGAACTCCTGGACTCAGGTGATCCTCCCGCCTCTGCCTCCCAAAGTGCTGGGATTACAGGTGTGAGCCACCATACCTGGCCATATTTTCTTTACTATCAGGTAATACATGTTCATTGGAACAAGTCAGTCAACATAGTTATATGGAAAGAGCATATTAACTCCCCTTCTCAACCTCCAGCAATATGGCATTTTAAGTATGCCTATTAGAACATATTTATTTAATTAATTTGTTTACCTATTTACTTTCTTTCTTTCCCAGAATCTAAGCTCCATGAAGGCAGGGATTATGTCTGTCTCTTTTTCTCTTTTACTGCCTTTACTCCAGGCACTCAGATTTGTTGAATGAATGGCCAAAAAGTTTGGTGTATATCCTGATATACTTTTTAAAAATGATGATACAGTTGTATGGTGTGTAATTTTTTAAATCTTAGTTTGCAATCTTTTTTTTTTTTTTTTTTTTTGAGATGGAGTCTCATGCTGTCACCCAGGCTAGAGTGCAGTGGTGTGATCTCGGCTCACCACAACCTCCGCCTCCTGAGTTCAAGTGATTCTCCTGCCTCAGCCTCCTGAGAAGCTGGGATTACAGGCGCCCACCACCATGCCCGGCTAATTTTTGTATTTTTAGTAGAGACGAGGTTTTGCCATGTTGGCCAGGCTGGTCTCAAACTCCTGACCTCAGGTGATCCACCCGCCTTGACCTCCCAAAGTGCTGGGATTACAGGCGTGAGCCACTGCGCCCAGCCGGTTTGCAATTTTAATTGCAAAAACAATACGATGAAGTTTGATAATTTAGGACATTGATATTTGATCTTCTTTGGCTATTATCCTAAAATATTGCCCTTCTACAAATCTTTCTTTGTTAGCTAACAAAGTATACCCCATTCTTCCTTTCCACTCACTGCAGCCTCCGCCTTCCAGGTTCAAGAGAGTCTTCTGAGTAGCTGGGACTCCGGGCGCACGCCACCATGCCCGGCTAATCTGTGGTGCTTTTAGTAGACACTGGAAAATTCCGGTTTTCAATTTAAAATGAATGGGTCACTATCTTTTGAAAAAAGTTGTACTGATGTGGGTACTTATCCCAAAAGTAAGTGATCCATTTTATACCCCCACACCTTTCTTATATAATAGCCTCATTCTCCCTAAATAAAATCATGCTTATTTGGTTGAACAAATGATGTAAGTCATTTTCTTACAAGGAGAATTAAGAGTGTTTGCTACTAGATTCAGATTATTTAACATAACGTTGGCTGAGATTGACAAAAGAGGATTAAATAAGTAAATATATACACACAAGTGCGTGCATATATGTATATCTATGTTCATTACCTTTAAGTTTGCATGCTAGTTTGCCCATTTACAAATATGTTCACTTCATCAGTTCTCTATACTACTTTAATCCTCCTCATATCTAAAACAACTACTGTACAAGAGGATTAGGATTGGGGTCACAATAGTAGCATCATAGGGTATTGTAGAGTATTAAAGTCAAGTCAAATTAATTGGAATTATATATCAACATATGCCCAGTAAATACAAATGAAGATTGATTCTTACTCAGGCATATTGTATCTTAATGAAATTTAGTTGAAGTTGCAAATAGAAAGCCAACATTTTCCATTTGTTTATTTTTCATTGAAACAGCTTGACTGGCTTTGTTCATGATATAGCAAAAGTAGCTCTTAATGCTGGTTAGCAGAAACATTGATTGCCAGGCAGCTGTCTAGGAAAACTTAAACCCATTTCACCTAACAAGCCAGAAATATTTATAATACATGTTATTTGGTAGTTAAATCCCATTCTCTGGAAATTTCTTAAGGCTGGTTCTTTATGTCCACATGCCTTCATGTTACTTGAACTTTGTTTATGCCTTTTCAAAAAATTTCAGCATTGAAGCTTTGCTCAGCTGACTCAGTTGGACTAATATTTAGCAAAGATTCTTCACCAAAAGTCATTCACAAGGTAGAAAAGTGTCATACTGGCCTGGCACAGTGGCTCACGCCTGTAATCCCAGCATTTTGGGAGGCTGAGGTAGGCTGATCACCTGAGGTCAGGAGTTTGAGACCAGCCTGGCCGTCATGGTAAAACCCTGTCTGTACTAAAAATACAAAAATTAGCTGGGCATGGTGGCACGCGCCTGTAATCCCAGCTACTTGGGAGGCTGAGGCAGGAGAATTGCTTGAACCCAGAAGGTGGAGGTTGCAGTGAGCCAAGATCGCACCATTGTACTCTAGCCTGGGCAACCAAGAGTGAAACTCCATCTCAAAAAAAAAAGGGGGTCATACTTGAACTGCAGTGGACAGAGAGAGGTGTCAGAAAGGCTGGAAATTAAGGGATATTGTTTATGCTGGAGAAACCCTCCTCTCAACCTCCTTCTGTCTTACTTTAGGTGGTGAAAGGGCCCTGAGATCTTACAAACACTCTCCATTTCATCACGTATCACAAATTTAGCACATGCTATATTTACTTGAAACAAAACAGGGCTTTTCTAGATCACAGTAGAGATGAGGACAGTTACAAATGTTAGCTTTCGTATGTTTTATGGTCCTGTAGACTCCTGACAAGTGTGCATTGCGAGCTTTCTTGTTAGGAAAAACTTTGGACAAATTTCTGGTTTGGAGAATGCTCTCCAAGAATACGTATGGTATTTAGGACTACAAGAAGATGTGGGCCAGGCATGGTGGCTCACACCTGTAATCCCAGCACTTTGGGAGGCCAAGGCAGGCGGATGACCTGAGGTCGGGGGTTTGAGACCAGCCTGACCAACATGGAGAAACCCCGTCTCTACTAAAAATACAAAAATTAGCCAGGTGTGGTGGCAGCATGCCTGTAATCCCAGCTACTTGGGAGGCTGAGGCAGGAGAATTGCTTGAATCCAGGAGGCGGAGGTTGCGGTGAGCCAAGATCGTACCATCGCACTCCAGCCTGGGCAGCAAGAGCGAAACTCTGTCTCAAAAAAAAAAAAAAAAAAAAGGTGTGAAGAGGTCTATAGGGGATAAACTTGATAAGCCAAAGAACTCTTTTTTTATACTACATCATTATTTATTTATTTATTCAACTTTTATTTTAGATTCTGGGGTACATGTGCAGGTTTTTTACAAAGGTATATTGCATGATGGTAAGGTTTGGAGTACAATTGAACCCATCACCCAGGAAGTAAGCATAGAACCCAATAGGTAGTTTTTCAACCCTTTGCCCCTCTTCACTTCTCCCCCATCTTGTATTCCCCAGTGTCTATTGTTCCCATCTTTATGTCCATGTGTACCCAAAGTTTAGCTCACACTTATAAGTGAGAAAAATATTTGGTTTACTGTGTTAGTTTGCTTAGGATAATGGCCACCATCTTCATGTTGTTGCAAAGGACATGATTTTGTCTAAAGAACTCGTAAAGGAAAGTGAATTATTATTTTGTTCTATAATAGAATTTTTGCATGTTCTTTTTTAACTGACTAAAAATAGTAAATTTGACATCCTTGATCAAAATTATTTTAATAAGAAGTATGTGCATACTTTTTATCAAAGTATAAAATATATATTATTTAAATAGAGCCTAAATGATGTACAGTGAAAAATAGTGTATTCTGCACCATCTCTGACCATCCTTTCCAGTATACATATATATCAGCTTTTTTCTATAATTAATACATCCCTGTTATACATCAGAATTTACTGTAGTGCTGAAAAAAACATTGTCTAACCTGATTCTGATTCAGTTGAATGCACCAAGATGATATGCAGTCTGAATAAACCATTAGGTATCAATTTAGTCACGTTTGTGATCAAATTGAATTAATGATTTAAAAAAACAGCCGTTCTCAAAGTGTGGTTTTTTTGGATCCTTCAAGGACCTCAAGACTCTCTCACGATTGAGGTCTTTAGATTTCACTTAAACTAATCATCATGAAACTATCAGCCGGGCCGTGACTGATGCCTGTAATCCCAGCACTTTGGGAGGCGGAGGCCGGCGGATCACTTGAGCCCAGCCCAGGCGTTCAAGACCAGCCTGTGAAACACGGCAAAACTTCATCTCTACAAAACATACAAAAATTAGCCAGGCATGGTGTCTCATGCCTGTAATCTCAGCTACTCGTGAGACTAAGGTGGGAGGATCACTTGAGCCCAGGAGCTACAGTGAGGCACTGCACCACTCTACTCCAGCCTGGGTGACACAGCGAGACACTGTCTTTAAAAAAAAAAAAAAAAAAAAAAAAATCACCCATCAGGTTTTGGTGTAGTATCAAAGAGGAATATCCTCAATTATCTGAAAATGCTATTAAAATACTCCCTTTTCCAAATACATTTCTGCCTTGGAACAAAAACTTTGAGATTTGTTGTCTTTTTGTGCCAGGGGATGGGCAGGGGCGGGGAGTGGAGGGAGTATGAGGCTGAGTTTTTGTTTAGAATGATGAAAGAAATAATACATAACTCATTTTAAAAAGCTGACAAATGCAGGGCACGGTGGCTAACGCCTGTAATCCCAATACTTTGGGAGACCGAGGTGGGTGGATCACCTGAGGTCAGGAGTTCAAGACCAGCCTGGCCAACATGGTGAAACCCCTTCCTACTAATAATACAAAAATTAGGCCGGCATGGTGGCACATGCTTGTAATCCCAGCTACTCAGGAGACTGAACCAGGAGAATCACTTGAACCTGGGAGGCAGAGGTTGCAGTGAGCCGAGATCATGCCATTGCACTCCAGCCTGGGCGACAAGACCAACTATATGTATTTTCCACATTTTCTTAATCTGTTCCTCCGTAGATGGACATTTAGGTTGCTTCCATATCTTGGCTATTGTGAAAAATGCTGCAGAGAACATGGGAGTGTGCAGGTAATCTCTTTGAGATCCAGATTTCAGTTCCTTTGGATATATACCCAGAAGTATGACTGCTAGATCAAATGGTAATTGTATTTTTAATTTTTTGAAGAATCTTCATATTGTTTTGCATAACAGCTACACCAGTTTATATTCCCTCCAACAGTGTACATGGGTTTCCTTTTCTCCACATCCTTACCAATTCTTGTTCTTTGGAAATCTGCTGTCTTTAAAAAGAAATACGTTGGCCGGGCACGGTGGCTCACGCCTGTAATCCCAGCACTTTGGGAGGCTGAGGCGGGTGGATCACGAGGTCAGGAGTTCGAGACCAGCCTGGCCAACATGGTAAAACCTGTCTCTACTAAAAGTTAAAAAAAAAAAAACTGGGCATGGTGGCGTGTGCCTGCAATCCCAGCTACTGAGGAGGCTGAGGCAGGAGAATCGTTTGAAACCGGATGGCGGAGGTTGCAGTGAGCCGAGATCGCGCCATTGTACTCCAGCCTGGGCAACAGGGCAAGACTCCATCTCAAAAAAGAAAAAAAGGTAAAAAAAAAAAAAAGAAATGCTTTCTATTTATTGGTAGAGTGGTCTATGTAAATAATTTTAAACTGTAAATTATTAACTAAAATACTGATTTTTTTAGGGATTATAAATATGAATTAAAAGCAAGGTCTAAAATCAATTATCATAAACAGAATTCTGAAAGATAGGCCTAAAATCCTTCTTTAAGCATTCGAGTTAGCAAGTTGTTAATTTCTCTTATAAGCATAATATATTTAACTTCTTGTAATGTGGATAGGATTTTCCCAGAATGGCAGGGTAGGTAAAGAGAGTTGGAAGTTTGCAGAGACAGGTTTATATTTTTTAAGATTCTTTATATGCAGTTTGATCAAAATTATGCATTTCGTAATTGCTGAGTGTTTGGCTAGCCAGATCCAGTAGTTACATTCCTTCTTTGACTAGCGCTTTCTGCTTGATTTTTTCATTGTTTTGGTTTCCTCAATGTATTCAGTTTCAAAGTGGAAAAGAAACGAAAGTGAGGTTTCCTAGACTTTGAATCTTGGGAGTTAACTTGGGACAGGTGGTTCTGTAAACCATGAAGCTGCATTAGGGCTAGTTACAGAGAACAACAGGTTATCTACTTTAGCAGCAATAGCTTCAGGAAATCAGCCTTTCTGGATTTGAATGTTTCCATGTGTTTGAAACCTAAAACTAGTTTACACTCATTAACAGATTATTTTAAGGTTATTGGTTTTAGATACTTTCTGCTTCTTTTAAGTTCACAAACTGGTCATTGTCATTTTAGGAAAAGACAGTGGCTTCATTTTAAATGTTGATGAGGAAAGTGTACAGAACATGATGAATACTATTTTCAAGGCTTTTGTAGCTCTTCTCTTTGGGAGTGGGGCAAGGACATGGCAGGTATGGAGCACAGCTTCGGCTTTCCAGATTAGTTTACTAGCACAATTCATGAGAGTTACGAGAAAAAAATATCAGAAAATCTAGAAGGTGATTCTTATCACCGTCATTGCCAAGAAAAGTTAGGGTTATTGTTTTCTATCATCCTTTAGAAGATGAATTAATGAAGAATTTTTCTCATTACCCTATCACTTTGTTTTTTAGTCTCCCCATCACTCTTGGGCAGTAATAGCTAAGCTGATAGGAAAGCTACTGTGCATATTGTAAGGATTAAAATCTTAAACTTTAGTCCCTTTTAGCCTCTGGGCTTTAGCATACAAAGAATGCATGTGCTCTGCTTTCTCAAGGGAACTCTGAGTACTCTGCAAGGGGGCCTGCTCTCATAATTTACTTTTTGAATGAGCCCTTCTGTTTATAGCTGAGATTTGCCAGTTAAAAAAGGAAATAATATGCTTAGATAATATTAACTGACTTTTTTTTTTCAGTTATGTACCATCAGTATTTTTAAGTTAACAGGGATAGCCATTTGTCAGGTGGTGGCAGAATTGTGTTGAATCTGTGTGTGGTTTTTTGAAGTGTTCTGTTTTTCATAATGATTTTGCATGCTCTTATTTCTTATACTTTCTTATTTCCTTTTAAATTTTTCTAAAGTTTCTTGAGGCTTTAAATCTAATTTTGGCACTGTGGAATAAGGTATTAACTTGATGAGGCAAGCTTTAGTGACTAAAAATTGTAACTGCCTTAATTGGGACAAATCATAGCTGGCAGCTAAACTCAAAGTTTAATCACGTCCAGCACGTATTAGCTGTTCTAGTCAGAGCTTGATGTGTTAAACAGCCCTACTGTCTGTGTGTGGGTGTTCTATGTGTGTAAATATTCTGAGATGAATTAATCTTTTTAGTGGTTCTTTGAAATTTTTTAAGTGTTCTCTTTTTTCATACTTAGAAGAAGAAAAAGCTCATAAAATCAATGCCTGCAGCAGTTTTATTTAACATCATTTTAGAATTCAGGCTGTTGCTGTTAGCAGAGCTGACCTGTTAAATAGCTTTTAATCATATTCATTCCAGTAGAAATTTTAGGAAACCTTAACTTGTAAATATTTTTATCTCACCCAAATCCTAGGTAGATGAAATGCCCTAGGACAAAGACCTTCAATTTTTAAACTGGGTTATATTTTTGAAGGAATTATTCTGCACATCCTCAGGTTGAGAGATAACCTTAGCTAAAAATTACCTCTTGAGAATGGATGCCTGATCTCTACTTTTTCTTTTCCAACTTGAGTTATCCAAAAGCCTTTTACTCCCACTACAAAAGAGAGGTGTATCTCTTATTCATCCCATTTCTTATGGTGGTTCACTGTCCTAAGCAATAAAAATCTCAAAGGAAGGGAAAATTCCAGAATGCATAGTCCTAGAGAGAGTCCCATGATAGAAATCCAAAAAGAGATTAGGTCAGAAATATTGGAGAATATTGAAAAATTATTTCATCTGGACAACAAACTCCTGCCTTCTCCTTTTTTTTTTTTTTTTTTTTTTTTGAGACAGAGTCATGCTGTGTCACCTAGACTGAGCAACCTCTGTCTCCCAGAGTCAAGCAATTCTCCTGCCTCAGCCTCCCAAGTAGCTGGGATTACAGGTGCCTGCCGCCATGCCCAGCTAATTTTTGTATTTTTAGTAGAGTTGGGGTTTCACCATTTTGACCAGGCAGGTCTCGAACTCCTGACCTCAAGTGATCCACCCGCCTCGGCCTCCCAAAGTGTTTGGATTACAGGCATGAGCCACTGCCCCCGGCTGCCTTCTCTAAGTTAGAATTATTATTATAAAAATGAGATAGTTATCACAGAGATGTGTATCAACACATTTATTTGAATTAAAATGAAGTGTGCTTTTGTTTAACAGAAATCTCTTTTACTTGATTGGTTTGAAAATGAGGACTGGCCAGCTATTTCCTGTAAGTTACATCACCTTAATCTTAAGTTACATCACCTTAATCTTTAGTGCCAAACACAGCTAAAGTACAGAAGAAACCATCCAGAATGAAGTTCAGAGAAACAAAGGAATGAATGATAACATGACAACATAGAAGGGAGAGTAAGAGAGTAGATAGCATGGGAAGGTCCAACCCATATCCAGTTGGAGTCTGAGAAAAGTGAAAAGAGAGAATGGGGGAGAAGCAATATTTGAAGACATAATAGGTGAGAATTTTTCAAAATTGTCAGGAAGACTGTTTTGTCAGTATGAATATTTGTTAGCTGAGTCATCTGTATTTTCTAAGTAGTTGTCTTCTAAGATTTTTCTCTTTATCTTGTTTTCTCAAACTGAGGATTTATATTGTTCATCAAGTCTATAATATCCTTAGTCATTAACCCTTAGTCATTTACCCAGACAGTTGTCTCTTCTCCATTCTCTATTCTCTTTTTCCAAAGTCCCATTAGATAAATGTCAGATCCTCCCATTCTAAAGCCTTTCTTTCATAGCTTCAGAATGACACTCCCCTGAATTCTGACTAATCTCTTCAAACCTATTCTTAAGGTTTACTGACTCTGTATATAGCTACATCCAGTCTTCCAGTTAATGTGTTATTAATTTCACTGACTTTACTTTTTTTTTTGAAGCGGAGTCTTGCCGTGTCACCAGGCTGTAGTACAGTAGTGCAATCTCAGCTCACTGCAACCTCCCAGGTTCAAGCGATTCTCCTGCCTCAGCCTCCCAAGTAGCTGGAATTACAGGCATGTGCCACCATGCCTGGCTAATTTTTGTATTTTTAGTAGAGATGGGGTTTCACCATGTTGGCCAGGCTGTTCTCGAACTCCTGACCTCAGGTGATCCACTCTCCTCGGCCTCCCAAAGTGTTGGGATTACAGGCACAAGCCACCATGCCTGGCTAACTTTACTTTCCATTTCTAGTTCTATTTCAAATCAATTAATCTTCTTCTATGGATCTTTTTTAGAGAAAGACATAATTTTAGAGAAATACACAGTTTTTTCTAATGTTTTAAATGCCTTGTTTTATGTCTTTAGTCATTTAAATATTCATATTGCTATGCCTATAGTTCCTGAGTGTCTAATCCAACTGTGTTAGATTGGCATTGCGTTTGCTCACGGTTAATTGGTTCTTGATGTGTTCACAATTGTGAGCTTATGTTTGGCAGGCCTTTGTGGGAAATCTTTGCTAGCAAAATCAAATATAGTGTATCTCTGGAAGAACAACAAAGATATTCTACAGATAATTCCCTGCCAAGCATGAGCTCACACTGGCCTGAGTTGTGAATTCTCAGAAGAATCTTCTGTCCTCCTCTTGTCTCCTTTTCTTTATCCTCATCTTTGTCTTCTTCCTCTTTCTTTTAACCGTCTAGATAACTAAGACAAAGAAGTTTGCCTGCCCTCTCCTTTTGCTTCTGTATTGTCTCCCTGTGCCACAGAACAAATTTTATTCCCCTTGTCACTGTCCTTGGACTTTCTTTTGGTTTTGATCAGCTTTATTGAGGTATAATTGACATAATAAAATTTACTAACTTGAATGTATACTTTGATGAGTAACTGTCACCATCATGATAATAAAGTATTTCCATTTACCCTAAAAGTTATCTCATACTGCTTTGCAGTCAGTCTCCTCTCCCCAACCCCTGGTAGCCACTGATCTGTTTTCTATCCCTTATCTAAAATGCCTGGGATAAAATGTGTTCTGGATTTCAGATTTTTTCAGATTTTGGAATATTTGCAGTTACTTAAGCAGTTGAACATCCCTAATCCAAAAATCCAAAATTCGAAATGTTCCAATGAGTATTTTCTTTGAGCATCATGCTGGTGTTCAGAAAGTTTCAGATTTTGGGTTTCATATTTTCAGATTAGAGAAATGCTTGACCTGTGCTAGAATTTTGCCTTTTCTACAATTTAATATAAATGTGACCATATAGAATACAATCTTTTGTCTAGCTTTTTTTTCCTACTTAACAGAACGCTTTTAAAATTCATCCATGTTATCGCATGCATCAGTAGTTCCTTTTTATTGCTGAGTAGTATTCTATTATATGGCTGTACCATTGTTTATCCATTCATTTGTTGATGGACATTGGGTTGTTTTCAGTTTTTGGCTATTATGCATCAAGCTGCTAGAGAATTTTTTATATAAATCCTGGGTGATACCTGACACTGTAATGGCTGGCTCATATGTTAAATATATCTATAACTTTATAAGGAACTGCCAAAATGTGTTCCAAGGGACTGTAACATCAGCAATATGAGAGTTCCATTGGCTTTATAACCCCACAAAGTCATGGAATTATCTGTCTTATTTTTAGTAGGTATGTATTAGATTGTGATTTTAATTTGCATTTTTAAATAACCAACGACATTCAGCATCTTTACATGTGCTTGTTTATCATTCATGTATCTTTGGTGAAGCACCTGTTTAGATCTTTTGCTTTTTTTTTAAGCTGGGTGATTTGCCTTTTTGCTATCGTTGTGCAAGTTCTTTTTATGTTCTGGGTATGTCTTTTCTTGAGTATATTATTTTGCATATATTTTGAAGTCTAATTTTAAAACTTTTTTTTTTTTTTTTTTGAGACGCAGTCTCGCTGTGTCGGCCATGCTGGAGTGCAGTGGCGTGATCTCAGCTCACTGCAACCTCCGCCTCCCGGGTTCAAGCGAGCGATTCTCTTGCCTCAGCCTCCCGAGTAGCTGGGACTACAGGCACACGCCACCACACCCAGCTAATTTTTGTATTTTTAGTAGAGACAGCCAGGTTGATCTCAAACTCCTGACCTCGTGATCCTCCCGCCTCAGCCTCCCAAAGTGCTGGGATTACAGGCGTGAGCCACTGCGCCCGGCCAACTTTTTTTATAGTTGTTTCTTTATGTTCCTTCAGAAATCTTTGCTTGATTTAAATATTGAGTCTTTCAGTCCGAGAGGATAGGTTATCTATTTTAACTTCTCAGTATTATAGTTTTCAGTGTACATATCTCATACATCTTTTGTGAGATTTATTTCTATATAGTTTACCATTTACAATAGCATTTAAAAATGTTTTCATATTTGGATTGTTCATTGTTAATATATAGAAATACAATTGATTTCTGTGTATTGATGTTGTATCCTAAGACCTAGTCAAATTCACTTATTTGATGTTCCTTAGGGTTTTCTTTATACATATCTGTCATCTGAATAAAAACAACTTTATTTATTATTTATTTTTTAGAGACAGGCCTTTTTTTTTTTTTTTTTTTGCGACGGAGTCTCCCCTTGTCACCCAGGCTGGAGTGCAATGGCGCGATCTCGGCTCACTGCAACCTCTGCCTCCTGGGTTCAAGCGATTCTCCTGCCTCAGCCTCCCAAGTAGCTAGCACATACCACCATGCTTGGCTAATTTTTTGTATCTTTAGTAGAGACGGGGTTTCACCATGTTGGCCAGGCTGGTTTTGGATTCCTTACCTTGTGATCCGCCCGCCTCAGCCTCCCAAAGTGCTGGGGATTACAGGTGTGAGCCACCGCACCTGGCCGAGACAAGGTCTTGCTCTGGAGTGCAGCAGCATGATCATAGGTCACTGTAACCTCAAATTCCTGGGCTCAAGTGATCCTCCCACCTCAGCTTCCCAAGTAGCTAGGACTACAGATGTGTACCACCACACCCAATTTTTAAACAATTTATGTAGAGGTAGGGTCTCGCTGTGTTGTCCAGGCTGTTCTTGAATTTTTGTCCTCAAACGATTCTCCTACATTGGTCTTCCAAAGCATTGGAATTATAAGTGTGAGCCACTGCACCTGGCCTATTTTATTTCTTCTTTTCCATTCTTTATGCCTTTTGTTTCTTTTTCTTGCCTGCATGCACTGGCTAGAACCTATAGTAGAATGTTGTGTATAAGTGGTGAGTATATCCTTGCTTTTCAGGAAACTTCTTGTATGGAGCTATTTTCATCATACTCCCGCAATGTCCAGTGTCCTAAATTGTATTTGAAGTGTTCATAGGGGTTGGAAGGAACAGTGTTTTGGAGTTGAGTGCTAATATTATGAAGAAGCGTTTGTGTTATAGACTAAAGAACATGGTAGTCAAGAGTGAACTTGTCATCTCTGACCTGTGTTCATTGCTGTAATATAGTCTGAGTGGAAGTACTTTGAAATGGACCTGCTAACATACAGGATAAGTTGTAATATAGGGTGGAAGTTGGCTTAAAGTAAAGGAGACCTTCATGAGAAAACAGGTAACCTACCACCAAACGCTCACTCCCACCTGCCCCTTATTAAAATCTTATTAGAAAATGTAACAGAAGGTTACATTTTCTAACCATGCTATTCATTATTCATTAGTACTAAGTGAATTCAAGACAAAGGAGTTATCTTTGATTTAAAACTACTTTTTTTTTTTTTTTTTTTTTTTTGAGACAGAGTATTACTCTGTCGCCCAGACTGGAGTGCAGTGGCATGATCCCGGCTCACTGCAACCTCCGCCTCCCGGGTTCAAGGATTCTCCTATCTGAGCCTCCCTAGTAGTTGGGACTACAGTCGCATGCCACCATGCCTGGCTAATTTTTGTATTTTTAGTAGAAATGGGGTTTCACCATATTGATAAGGTTGGTCTCGAACTCCTGATCTCAGGTGATCTACCTACCTCTGCCTCCCAGAGTGCTGGGATTACAGGTGTGAGCCACTGCGCCTGGCCTAAAACTACCATCTTTTGACATCATATATATATTTATGATTTTAACTGTATTGGCTAGCTGTTGTTTAGGAGTTTCTTGTCATATAATGCGGAAAAATACCTTGAATCAAAGCTATTAAGATAAAAGGAAACTTTTCTGAGATAATTCCCCAGCCTGTTAAGTGAAAATTTTCGGTGTTCAGAATTATCTTTTTTTTTGTAAATTGCTACATATCTAGTGAGTCAGGCACCCACTTCCTAGTATGTTAAGTCAGCCATAAATAAGAGAATGAAAAGAGTATGGAAGAATATATTTTGGAAAAGGTAAAAAACTTATAAAGGCTATATTAAAACCTGTAGCATTGGGGCTGGGAGTGGTGGCTCATGCCTGTAATCCCAGCACTTTGGGAGGCCAAGGTGGGTGGATCACCTGAGGTCAGGAGTTCGAGACCAGCCTGGCCAACATGGCCAAACCCCGTCTCTACTAAAAATACAAAAATCAGTCAAAGGTGATGGCGTGTGCCTGTAGTCCCAGCTACTCGGGAGGCTGAGGCAGGAGAACCGCCTGGGAGGCAGAGGTTGTAGTGAGCCAAGATCTTGCTATTGCACTCCAGCCCGGGCGACAGAGTGAGACTCTGTCTCAAAAAAAAAAAAAAAAAACCTAAAATGTTTGTAGGTTATGTATTATGTGTTATCTTAGGTTAAGCAGATAAGTCAAATGGGGCATTTGGTTATCTAAGTAATTTAAGGAATTATGATGTTAACTGATTTATTGAAAGGGATTTATTTCAATTATGATTTCTTAAGTGGTGAGAAGCTATTTTCCTTTAAGCTACAAAAAATTATGGGCAATACTATGACTCTAAAGCTTTTTCTGATAATGTCTTTAAAAGAAGATAATGTCTATTGGATAAGTAACATTAAAAAAAATTCATTTACTCGAGAGCTAGGTGTAAAGTTCTGAAGGAGAAAAACACTTTTTTTTTTCCTCTTACACAGTCAACACTCAGCACATCACAAAACACTACTGTAACCAGAAGTGTGGGGGTTTTTTTCCCCCACATATACCAAGCAATTGTAGGAGACACCAACTGGGTGTCCCGTAATTCAATTCAATTTTGACTTCAGCTACCTGGAGTTAGATCGCAGGTTAAGGCCTCAGTTGCACAAGACTAAGGCCCTTACTTCACATGCCAATCATACATAAGTAGTAGCTTGTCACCTGTACTTGTGACTCACCAGCTATAAATCGGGTTACCACTACCCCTCTCCTTGGGTTTGATTAATTTGCTAGGAAGGCTCACAGAACTCAGGGAAACGCTTACTAATATTTGCTGGTTTATTATAAAGGATACTTTAAAGGATACATGTGAAAGCCAGATGAAGAAGTACATAGGGCAAAGTCTGGAAGGGTCCCCAAGTACAGGAGCCTCTTCCCCCGTGGAATTGGGGTATGCTATCCTCCCTGCACATGGATGCAATGACCAACCTGGAATCTCATCAGGTCTCTTGTTTACCAATTTATTTATGTATTTACTGAGACAGGATCTTGCTCTTTCACCCAGGCTGCAGTGCAGTGGTGCAATCACAGCTCCCTGCAGCCACTACCTCCCAGGTTCAAGTGATCCTCTCACCTCAGCCTCCCAAGTAACTGGGACCACAGACACACACCACCATGTCTGGCTAATTTTTTAATTTTTTTGTAAAGTTGGGGTCTACTTATGTTGCCCAGGGTGGTCTCAAACTCCTGAGTACAAGTGATCCTCCTGCCTCAGCCTCCTGAGTAGCTGGGACTATAGGCATGCTCCACCATACCCAGCTAATTTTTTAAAAATTTTCTTAGACACAGGATCTGTGTTGCCCGGGCTGTCTTGAACTCCTGGCCTCAAATGATCCTCCTGCCTCAACCTCCCAAGTAGCTGGGATTACTAATAGGCATGATCCACCACGATTGGCTATATTTCTTATTTCACAAAAGAGTTTTATAGGTGTGCCTTATATTGACATACTATTTTAATTTTATGTCTTTCAGATATTTGGATTTGACCTGCATTTTGGAATTTATCTACACTTAAAATGCCACCAGCAGTTGGAGGTCCAGTTGGATACACCCCCCCAGATGGAGGCTGGGGCTGGGCAGTGGTAATTGGAGCTTTCATTTCCATCGGCTTCTCTTATGCATTTCCCAAATCAATTACTGTCTTCTTCAAAGAGATTGAAGGTATATTCCATGCCACCACCAGCGAAGTGTCATGGATATCCTCCATAATGTTGGCTGTCATGTATGGTGGAGGTAAGTACCCATTAAGGCCTGCTCTTTTAATTTTCATGAAGCAGCCAGAGTGTCTGTATTAGGTAACTTTAAAAAAAAAAAAAAGTCTTATTCAGTGAGATGTTTTGAAATGTTATTTCTTAAAGTTTGGTGTTTAGAGTCACATTTTTCATTCCTGATAACAATAGCAACTCTTGCTATAGTATACTGTAGTATTTCAAAACAGAAATGAGAAAATTGTGAGGGACCTTGATTTGCTCCAACTGATGTATCATTGAGTTTAAAAGACTGTTATAAAAATGATGTATTCACAGCTGTATTTTTTTTGTTGATCTCTGCTGGACTCTTGAAATGTAAACATAAATATAGATTTTTAAAAATTGATGTTGGGAGGATTAAAATAAATCAGACTAGCCTGAATGGCATGGTTCAGATTCTCAGGTAAAATCTTTATATGATGTTAGAATTAACTGAAAAAACCTCCTCCGTATTACTTGCGATGTTATGAGTCCTAAAAGCATTTCAGCTGCACCCTAAACTTAAATTTTACCATTTATTTCTCTTTTGTTTTTTTTGGCATATTGTAAAGGAAATGTTGGAAGTAAGTTGCTCACTTAACATCATCTAAAATACTGTTTCTAGCCAATGTAATGATTCTTGGTTTCAACTATAAATAACTTAGCCTTAGGCTGCTAAGGTGGTGCCAGAGTCAACCAATATCTGTCAAGTTCTATGAATATATTCAGCACTGGGCTAGGTATTGTGAGTGACAGAAAACACTGATCCCTTCCTTTGAGAAGTTTATAATCCTTTTGAGACAGTAATATATGATCGTGAAACAGGAATAAGCAGTTGAAATCATAATTTCATTAAGCCTGTAATTAAATCGTCCAGAAGAAACAGGTAACTGGCTGCCATGGAGAAAGAGAAACTGGGTGACTGGGAACAGGATTAGGAAGACTTATGTTTCCACTGTTTATCTTTTTGTGCCTTTTACATTTTGAACATAGGCCTATTTTGTCTATCAAATTAAAGAACCTAAGTGCTTAATTGTAGTGTTTTTTTTTAATAAGTTCAGAGAAATCAAAATGGACTTTGGGCATTAGCTTCTGAGAGCCAATAATTTTGTAGGCTTTGAACTCCATTCTGCCAGGATTTTAATCAGGTTTTGACTATGATGGCTTGAAGAAATTGGTATAAACATTACCCAGAGGTACTCCAGGTGTTCAGTGTCTTCTTAAGTTGACTACAAACCAGAAGTTTACATGTTGCTATTCTGTGCTACCAAAGAGCGAGAAAGCCACTTGTGTTTTGCATCAAAAGTAAGTGATGTCAGTTTTATTAGTTGCACATGACACTTTCCTTTGGGGAAACAGTTCCTTCTTTGTCCTTACTCAATTAGTGAGATAACTAGCACATTTTTTTGAGTTTGTATTATAATAGGCCTATAAACCGTACCCCTTTCTATTTTTAATGATAGCTAATTAGGCCTATCCTTCCTGAAATAACACTAAAAGACAAAATGCCTATCATGAACCTTGTTGCAGAATTTTTACTAAATGGGTTGTTTTGTTTGGTTTGGTTTCTAAATAGTATATCCCCTAATAGTTTTCATCACTTTTACAACTGTGATAATCCTTTAACTTGTTCATTTGGACCACAATCTGAACACTAATACGTCTTGAGATATGGTTGGTTTTGTTTTCTTTTTTAGTGCTTTGGGTCAGAGATATACAGTGATGGTTGTTAAAGTATATTTTGCGGGGAAGAGATCTTACCTGCCTACTTTTGGTTTGTTTATTTGTTTTTCCTTTTTTTTTTAAACATGAAAGTATAAATTTTATCAGTTCCACAAGGGTCACCTTAACACTTGTGGTTTGGAATTTTAAATATTTCAAAAACTTTAACTTCTACAGTATTAACTTCTACCTCAGAGTCAACAGTGTGGTGATACTGATCTTTGTTTTGTGGGATTTTTTTTTTTTTTTTTTTTGACACAGGGTCTCACTGTTGACCAGGAGTACAGTGGCATGATCATGTCTCCCTGCAGCCTCAGCCACCGAGGCTCAAACCATCCTCCTGCCTCAGCCTCCCCAGTAGCAGGTGGCCCTACTACTATGCTCAGCTAATTTTTTATTTTTGTTAAGTAGAGATGGGGTCTCACTCTATGGCCCAAGCTGATCCTTTTTTTTTTAAGTTTTTTTATTATTTATTTATTTATTTATTTATTTTGAGATAGGGTTTCTCACTCTGTCACTCAGGCTGGAGTGCAGTGGCACAATCACCACTAACTGTAGCCTCAGCCTCCCTGGCCTCAGGTGATCGGTCCTCCCCCTTCACCCTGCCAAGTAGCTAGGACTACAGGCTTGCACCACCACACTCGGCTAATTTTTGTATTTTTTGTAGAGATGGGTTGTTGCAATGTTGCCAAGGCTGGTCTTGAACTCCTAGGCTCAAACAATCTGCCCACCTTGGCCTCCCAAAGTGCTGGGATTACAGGCATGAGCCACCATGCCTAGCCTGGTATTTATCTTTGTAATTCTAACTGTACAAAGTCTTATGACTACAGTGGCATGATCTCTGCTCACTGAAACTTCTGCCTCCTGGGTTCAAGCAATTCTCCTGCCTCAGCCTCCTGAGTAGCTGGGACTGCAGGTGTGTACCACTACGCCCAGCTAGTTTTTGTATTTTTAGTAGAGATGGTGTTGGCCAGGTTGGTCTTGAACTCTCCTGACCTCAGGTAATCCACCTGCCTCAGCATCCCAAAGTGCTGGGATTACAGGCGTGAGCCACTGCGCCTGGCAACGGCCAGTTCTTGATGTAGCACCTTAGAGAGACTTGGTCCTATGAAACACATGAATAATCAAAAGCTTTAATTCCTTCTTAACATGCTTATCTTATGTATATATACATACATAACATCTATATCTATATGGATGGAGATGGAAAGAGAGCACCTTCTGTCTGTGTCATGTGAAAGCATAAATAAGCATGTGCACCAGTATCATGATCACTGCCAGTATTTATTGAGGACCAACTAAACACCTCACATATATTAGTTAATTTTTTATTCTTTCAACAATCCTATAAAGTAGTTTAATAATAACCTCTGAGAAACAGACAAGAATATGGTGAAACCAAAACTTAAAACAGGGTGCCCTGGGGCTACAGCCTATCCTTTTAATGTTAGTATACTGTACCGCAACTCTGAATAGTAAAACTAGACTATAAGTAACTGAAGTATTTTTCATAGTATTTATGGAAATAGAATATGCCAATATGTGATCATTAGTATATTCTGAATATATGTACATTCAATATGTGTTTTTAGAAATAGACTCTATGTTTGGATAAGACTTTCTTGTAATTAAGATTTTGAAATTTGGAAAAGGCAAATTACAGATTATACCTATTTATAGCAAGTAAGAAGAGAAGGCCAGGCACGGTGGCTCACACCTATAATCCCAGCACTTTGGGAGGCCTAGGTAGGTGGATCACTTGAGTCCGGGATTACAAGACCAACCTGGGCAACATGGTAAAACCCTGTCTCTACAAAAAATACAAAAATTAGCCCGGCACGGTGGCATGCACCTGAAGTCCCAGCTACTCGGGAGGCTGGGCAGGCAGATTGAATGAGCCCAGGAGGTCGAGGCTGCAGTGAACCCTGATAGTACCACTGCATTCCAGCCTGGGTGACAGAACAACACCTTGTCTCAAATTTAAAAAAAAAAGAAAGGCCACTTGACATTTGATTCCTCTTCTCAAAAACTGATACATAGGTCAGTCATGGTGGCTTACACCTATAATCCCAGCACTTTTGGAGGCAGTGGTGGCAGTATCACTTGAGCCTAGGAGGTTGGGTCTGCAGTGAGCTGTGATTGCGCTACTGCACTCCAGCCACAGAGGGAGACTGGTCGCAAAAAACTGATACATGAAATGCATAAAATATTTTCTTGTTTCTTATAATGCTTTTCATTTGGTTCCTTTTCTCACATACTAGAAATGCTGATTTTTATATGCATATAGTTAGCTGAGGAAATGTCTGGTTTTCTTGGATAATACTATTTCCTATTCTCTTGAGTTGTTACACCCACGTTGTGTTGACTGTTATCTGATTTAATCTTATCCTGCAAGCATTTTTTTTCACAATTGTACTACCATGAAACTTAATAATATAGGCATGGAACCAAGTAATTCTGAAGGATATATTTGGGTGGGTTTTTTTTGTTTGTTTGTTTTTTGAGACAGAACCTCACTCTGTTGCCCAGGCACGATCTCATCTCACTGCAACTTCTGCCTCCCAGGTTCAAGTGATTCTTCGCCTCAGCCTCCCGAGTAGCTGGGACTACAGGCATGCACCACCACCATACCTGGCCCCTGAAAGATATATTTGGTTTAGTACCTGAATTTGGATGTAACTAGGAACTTTTTCTTTTTTAATCAAGATTACCTAATTGCAACACTACTTAAACTTGGAAAAAATGATCATGCATTTTTGTCTTTTTTCTTTTTTTTGTTGTTGTTGTTTTTGTTTGTTTGTTTTCTTTATAAATGACCCGGTCTCAGGTATTCTTTTATAGCAATGCAAACAGACTAACACACAGCACCCCAGGAGGTTTCATTCTTCATTTGGTGGTGACTTTACTGTTAGGTTTTTGTCCAAATACTTCCATCCCTAAGAATTTACTGAGGCACTTCTAAATTAAAGAAAGTGTGAGAAACAAAAGAGGTTACAGAAGAGCCTTGGGCAACCTGAGAAACGATGGGCCTAGTGGAAGTAGTTGGGACATTCGTGAGCAACCAATTGCCAGGCTTGATTAAAGGCCTCCACAACATCTGGCTCCAGGGGCCCTTCCTCTGCCGCTGCCAAGTTCTGCTCCAACTGCTCCAAGCTGGACATGCCCAGGATGACTGCGTCCCCGTGGGCACCCTGCAGCTGTGAGTGGTGGTACATCCACCAGAGGGCAGCCGAGGTCATGCTGGGGGCGCTGGCGCCATACGCGGCCTGCAGGGCCTTCTCTACCAGGGCAATGCCATCGAAGTGGTGCTTCTTCCAGAAGCGATTCCTGTAGATCTCTGCCCATTGAGTCCCAAAGAAGCGGCCCATGGGCTGTTTCCTGTCCTTGTCCTTATACTTGTACTTGCCAGTCAGCAGGTCCCCAGCCAGAGGGTTGAAGGCATAGAACCTCAGTCCAGAGTGCCTGAGGCAGGGGAAGAGCTCCGTTTTCACCTGCTGGGTGGTGGCGTTGTACATGCCCTGGTACACAGTGGGCAGGGTCCAGCCATTGCTCTTGCAGAGGTTACAGATCTTGGCCACTTCCCAGGTGGCATAGTTGGAGAGGCCAAGATCCAGGAACTTGCCCTCCTGGTGCAGCTGGTGGCAGGCACTCAGTGTCTCTTCCACCGGGGTGCTGTGGTCTGGCCTGAGCAGGTAGAAGAGGTCCACTCGGGGACACTGCAGCCACTTCAGTGACGTCTCCAGCTGGAACCGGAGACTGTCAGGTTTCAGGGAGTTCCCAAACAATGGATTGGCCTTGGTATCAATTTTCAGGCCACCCAGGATGGTCTTGGACTGGCTGTCGCTGTACACGAAGGCCGTGTCTATCTTGGTGTGGCCGTGCTCCAGGAAGGCGCGGGTGACTACGGCGCCCCATCTCCATGGCACCCAACACCGTGGAGGGCCGGGACATGATGGCGGCAACAGGAGACTGCGACAGCCCGGGAGCAACGTGCAGTGGTTGGAAGCATCAGCTCCCTGGAGTTGGCGGCCGCGTGGCTTTAGGGATTGCTGTTTGTTTGTTTTTGAGACGGAGTTTCACTCTTGTTGCCCAGGCTGGAGTGCAATGGCTCACCGCAACCTCCACCTCCTGGATTCAAATGATTCTTCTGCCTCAGCCTCCTGAGTAGCTGGGATTACAGGCATGCGCCACCACGCCCAGCTAATTTTGTATTTTTAGTAGTGATGAGGTTTCTCCATGTCGGTCAGGCTGGTCTTGAACTCCTGACCTCAGGTGATCCATCCACCTCCCAAAGTGCTGGGATTACAGGCATGAGCCACCACGCCCACCCTGTCTTTCAGGAGGCTGAGGCAAGAGAATGGCATGAACCCGGGAGGCGGAGCTTACAGTAAGCGAGATCAGGCCACTGCACTCCAGCTTGGGTGACAGAGTGAGACTCCGTCTCAAAAAAAACACAACACCACAAACCACATTTATGATAATATACAAGTACTCTAAAATCTAGATGCATTTATACGTCTCCTATCACTGCGTGTGTCTGAAATTTAAAACAGAACATACTTTCTACTAACATGTTTTTGTTTTGTTTGTTTGTTTTTTGAGACAGAGTCTCACTCTATTGCCCAGGCTGGAGTGCAGTGGCGCAATCTTGGCTCACTGCAACCTCCACCTCCCAGGTTCAAGCCATTCTCCTGCCTCAGCCTTCGGAGTAGCTGGGATTACAGGCACGCGCCAACCACGCCTGGCTAATTTTTGTATTTTTAGTCGAGACGGGGTTTCGCCATGTTGGCCAGGCTGGTCTTGAACTCCTGACCTCGGGTGATCCACCTGCCCCAGCCTCCCAAAGTGCTGGGATTACAGGCGTGAGCTACTGCGCCCAGCCACTTTCTACATACATGTTAATCGTATCCTAGATACATCAAGAACCTTGTGAACATCCATTACCAAGGTGTTTTCAGCCTGCCCTGCCATAAAAGAGAAAGATTAAGGATAACTTCAGGTCTTTTGTATTTTAGTAAAATTCCATCCAGTATTTTTAGATTTAGAACCTGCACAATTAATTATGTTTTCTAACATCTTTATTTTAGTACACATGTGACTCAGAAGTAATTATAGAAAACAATATTCTTATCATTGCTGCTTGTTTATTTTGGAGGATTTGTCATTCATTGTCATTCATACTTGTGTAGATGTGAGGGAGCAGTTTCCTTTATATTACTACATTTTTGGTTGTCTTTTAGGTCCTATCAGCAGTATCCTGGTGAATAAATATGGAAGTCGTATAGTCATGATTGTTGGTGGCTGCTTGTCAGGCTGTGGCTTGATTGCAGCTTCTTTCTGTAACACCGTACAGCAACTATACGTCTGTATTGGAGTCATTGGAGGTGAGTTACTACTGATTCATTTGGAAGCATTAGTTTATGGCTGGCTATTTTGTATTTACCTGCATTCATCTTTCAGATCTCTGGAGTGAAATTCTTTTCTTATAGAAATGACTTGATTATCATTTTGAAGAACTAGAGATAAAAGTACTAGAAAAGCAAACTTTTAAAGAAATTGCCATTATATAATGGATATTTATTGTTTGTCGAATGAGTGAATGAATTGAAAGAATGATTGCATTCCTTGTCCTAAGAATAGCCAGTAGTGGTAGATACAATGTGTGTGGCAACTTGGTGCGAGAGTGGCAATTTGATAGAATGTCCACATAACATTTCTGAGGGGTAGAGGATACGCTTCATAATTCCTCCCCCCATTTTAAAAATCACTAAATTAAGATAATGAACTGTTGATGAGCATAATGAATAAAAGTTACCCATAACCTCACAATCCAAAGAATATCATTAACATTTCTATGTATATCCTTCCATGTGTTTTTCTATGCACAGATACACCTTTTTTTGAGCAAAAAAGGATCAAATTATGTCTAATATTTTATAACCAGATTTTTGTCAGTATTAAGTTGAAAGTTTTGTGAACATGAATATATTCTTCGTATAAATTTGTAGAAAGGGAACTGCTGTGTGTTTGTTTTAATATATGTATGCTAAATTGTCCTCCAAAAAAGTTATACTCACTTATTATCCCACCACAATATATCAGAGATTCCAAGATTATCCCTTTTGTCAACAATGGGATATTGCCTTTTTTAAAAAAATAATTGCCAGTTTAACACGTGAGAACAGTATCTCTTGGTTTTAATCCTTATTTTCTTTTCTTTTTTTTTTTTTTTTGAGACGGAGTCTCGCTCTGTCTCCCAGGCTGGAGTGCAGTGGCGCGATCTCAGCTCACTGCAAGCTCCGCCTCCTGGATTCACGTCATTCTCCTGCCTCAGCCTCCTGAGTACCTGGAACTGCAGGTGCCCGCCACCACGCCTGGCTAATTTTTTGTATTTTTTTTTAGTAGAGACGGGGTTTCATCGCATTAGTCAGTATAGTCGATCTCCTGACCTTGTGATCCGCCTGCCTCGGCCTCCCAAAGTGCTGGGATTACAGGCGTGAATCACCTTGCCCGGCCTTCTGATGTTGAATTTTGTTAAAAAGTATTTTTAAAATTCAGTCTTTTCCAATGTTTTTCCCTTATTAAACATATAAATTTTTATGTATTCAAAACGTATTTTATGGTTTCCATCTTGTATGTCATCCTGAGAAAGTTGTTTTCTACTCCAAGATTATGAAAATATTTGTCCACTTCTGTTTACTGCACTTTAGTTTTTATATTTTAAAAATCTGGTTTTGTTGTTGTTCTTTTGTTTTGTTTTGTTTTTTTGAGACACAGTTTCACTCTCACTGCCAGGCTAGACTGCTATGGCATGATCTCGGCTCACTGCAATCTCCGCCTCCTGGGTTCAAGCGATTCTCCTGCCGCAGCCTCCCAAGTAGCCGGGATTACAGGCGCCCGCTACCACACCCAGCTAATTTTTGTATTTTTAGTAGAGACGGGGTTTCACTATGTTGTGCAGGCTGGTCTCAAACTCCTGACCTCATGGTCCGCCTGCCGCTGCCTCCCAAAGTGCTGGGATTACAGGCGTGAGCCACTGCACCTGGCCAATTTTTGTGTTTTTAATAGAGACGGGGTTTCACCATGTTGGCCAGGCTGGTCTCAAACTCCTGACCTCAGGTGATCCGCCTGCCTCGGCCTCCCAACATGCTGGAATTACAGGCATGAGCGACCACGCCCAGCTACATTTAAAAATTCCAAATGGATGAAAACATCTGACATAAGATGAGAAAAAAGAAATATAACTCTATTTGTTCCCACATGGTTAATCAGTTGGTTCATTTGCTCTTTTATTAATTTATTTATGAAATATTTATTGAGCAACAACTGTATGTGTGTTAGGAACCATTTTAGGTGCTGTAGAGATAGAGCAACAAGTCAGGCAGTTACACTCTTTAATAGGAGGAGACAAACAGTACAACTCATAAATAAATTAATAAATAAGAAAAATATCAGGTAGTGATAAATGCTATATAAAGCCTTTAACTGAGTGTTGTGACAGGGAAGAACTGGGCAAGCAATGAAGGTCAGGGCTCACTGAAGAATCAACTTTAAGTAGAGACCTGCATAACAACAGGGAACCAGATTTGTGAAAATGTAAGGGATCATAGACCGTAGAGCTTATTAACAAATGTAAGAATGGTTTGCTATGAGGTCAGGGAGGAAGTTCTTTGAATATTACTTTTGCTAGCACTATTTATTGAATAATTTCTCTCTATTAATTTAAAATGCTACTTTATCTTACATTAAATGTTTCCATGTATTTCAACTCTGTTCCTGGACTTTCTATAGTGTTTCTGCACTTTCACTGACGAATTTTTACTGGTTCCTGAAACAGGGCCACACTGCTCTAATGACTGTAGCTTTTGTAAAGCCATTTAAATAATTTGTTCTGGTTGGTCCCACTTTTTCCTCTGCACCATCAAAAATTTCCTAGTAGCTCTGTATTTGTTCTGTAAGTATCCTTTAGAATCATTTACCTTAATCCGAAAGTAAAATTCACTGACATTTTCATTGGATTGCATTAAATTAGTACATTCAGGCTGGGTGCGGTGGCTTACGCCTGTAATCCCAGCACTTTGGGAGGCCGAGCCAGGTGGATCACGAGGTCAGGAGATCGAGACCATCCTGGCTAATACGGTGAAACCCCGTCTCTACTAAAAATACAAAAAAAAAATGAGCCGGGCATGGTGGCGGGCGCCTGTAGTCCCAGCTACTCGGGAGGCTGAGCCAGGAGAATGGTGTGAACCCGGGAGGTGGAGGTTGCAGTGAGCCGAGATCGCGCCACTGCACTCCAGCCTGGGCGGCAGAGCAAGACTCTGTCTCAAAAATAAATAAATAAATAAATAAATAAATAAATAAAATAAATTAGTACATTCATTTCAGGAGCCTTGGCATCTTAGCAATGTTGTGTTTTATTTTCCCAAAACTTTGTGTGTATTTTAAATTCTCTGATCTCTCAGGAAAGTTTCACAATTGGAGTCTTAGGAATTGGCCTGTTTTTAAGTTTTGGTGCTATAGTGGAAGGGATCATTTTGTACTATATGTTATTTCTTTCGTTTTTGGGTTTTTGAGACAGGTTCTTTCTCTGTAGCCCAGGATGGAGTGCAGTTGTGTGATCATAGCTCACCATAGCCTCAAACTTCTAGGCTCAAGTGATACTCCAGCTTTAGCCGCCCAAGTAGCTAGGACTGCAGGCACACACTACCATACCTGACTAATTTTCGAATTACTTTTTGTAGAGACAGGTCTTGCTATGCTGCCCAAGGTGGTCTTGAATGCCTGGCCTTAATCAATCCTGCCGCCTTGGCTTCCCAAAGCACTGGGATTATAGACATGAGCCACTGCAGCTGGCCTTATGCATTTTCTAGTGTAAATTTGTTTTATCTCTACTGTCGACTTAATGATCTTATATGGTTATAATAATCCTTCCGGTGATTTTGTTAGATTAGACAAAATAGTTATTCACCTTCAAATAATAAAAACAACAATAATAAAAATAACATGTATTAAGTGCTTACTACATACTGGGCACTGGGTACTAAGTGCTTAACAAATCTTTTCTTCCTCACAACAGTGACCTGTGCCCGTTTTACATATTAGGAAGCAGTCATAGGAGGGTATACATGTCTGAGATTATGCAACCAGTAAGCACTGATACTGAGATTTGAACCCATGTCTGTTTTAGAAGTCATACTTTAAACCACTACATAACATGTCCTCTAATAATGAGGATTTATATCCTATTCCTTCCATTATTTATACCTCTTATTATTTATTTATTTATTTATTTATTTATTTATTTATTTATTTATTTATTGTCTTCACAGGTCTTGGGCTTGCCTTCAACTTGAATCCAGCTCTGACCATGATTGGCAAGTATTTCTACAAGAGGCGACCATTGGCCAACGGACTGGCCATGGCAGGCAGCCCTGTGTTCCTCTGTACTCTGGCCCCCCTCAATCAGGTTTTCTTCGGTATCTTTGGATGGAGAGGAAGCTTTCTAATTCTTGGGGGCTTGCTACTAAACTGCTGTGTTGCTGGAGCCCTCATGCGACCAATCGGGCCCAAGCCAACCAAGGCAGGGAAAGATAAGTCTAAAGCATCCCTTGAGAAAGCTGGAAAATCTGGTGTGAAAAAAGATCTGCATGATGCAAATACAGATCTTATTGGAAGACACCCTAAACAAGAGAAACGATCAGTCTTCCAAACAATTAATCAGTTCCTGGACTTAACCCTATTCACCCACAGAGGCTTTTTGCTATACCTCTCTGGAAATGTGATCATGTTTTTTGGACTCTTTGCACCTTTGGTGTTTCTTAGTAGTTATGGGAAGAGTCAGCATTATTCTAGTGAGAAGTCTGCCTTCCTTCTTTCCATTCTGGCTTTTGTTGACATGGTAGCCCGACCATCTATGGGACTTGTAGCCAACACAAAGCCAATAAGACCTCGAATTCAGTATTTCTTTGCGGCTTCCGTTGTTGCAAATGGAGTGTGTCATATGCTAGCACCTTTATCCACTACCTATGTTGGATTCTGTGTCTATGCGGGATTCTTTGGATTTGCCTTCGGGTGGCTCAGCTCCGTATTGTTTGAAACATTGATGGACCTTGTTGGACCCCAGAGGTTCTCCAGCGCTGTGGGATTGGTGACCATTGTGGAATGCTGTCCTGTCCTCCTGGGGCCACCACTTTTAGGTATAGTATATCTCCCTACTAATGTGGGTCTATTACAAAACAAGCATGTAAGATGGGAATGCTGACAGAAAGCAAACATTAGTGAGCTATTTGGGTAAGAATAAATCTTTCTCATTTATGTACCCTTGATGCTGGGACAATGCTTGGCACAGCATAATTGCTCAAATATAGAATCTAATTAAATGGAACCATCAAGGCAAAAGGGGGATCAAATATTGTTACAAATGTCAGTGTTTTTTCTTTTTTTTTGAGATGGAGTCTTGCTCTGTTGCCCAGGCTGGAGTGCAGTGGCACCATCTCAGCTCACTGCAACCTCCGCCTCCCAGGTTCAAGCGATTCCCCTGCCTCAGCCTCCCGGTAGCTGGGATTACAGATGCATGCCACCATGCCTGGCCAATTTTTATATCTTTAATAGAGACAGGGTTTCGCCATGTTGGCCAGGCTGGTCTCTAACTCCTGACCTCAAACGATCCACTTGTCTCAGCCTCCCAAAGTGCTGGGTAACAGGTGTGAGCCACTGTGCCTGGCCTAAAATATGTTTTTTTCTGATCGCAAAACTGATGTGCTTAGTGTAGAAAAGCATGTAGAAAAACAACCCAATCTTTAAAGCGCTAGTGATTATTTCATTTTAAAAATGAAGTATATTTCACATAAGTTTTTTTTTTTTTTTTTTTTTTTTTTAAGACAGTCTTGGTCTTGTTGCCCAGGCTGGAGTGCAATGGCGCGATCTCGGCTCACTGCAACCTCTGCCTCCTGGGTTCAAGCAATTCTCCTGCCTCAGCCTCCCAAGTAGCTGTGATTACAGGCGCCCACCACCATGCCCAGCTAATTTTTGTATTTTTAGTAGAGACGGTTTCACCATGTTGGCCAGGCTCGTCTTGAACTCCTAACCTCAGGTGGTCCACCCGCCTTGGCCTCCCAAAGTGCTGGGATTACAGGCATGAGCCACCATGCCTGATCCATAAATTTTTTAAAAACACACAAAAAGCAAAAAAAAAAAAAAAAAGTTTATTTCAGTAGCAGTAGTATAATAATAGCTACCATGTAAGCTCACAGTGTACCAGAGACTGTCCTTATCATTTTGTATCTCCTGTTGTATCTCACAAGTCCATATGAGGTAGGACCGTTTTAAGTCCCCATTTTGTAAGTGAACAGAGGCTTCAAAAGGTGAAATAACTTGGCTAAAATCATACAGCTAGAAAATTAATTACAACTTGGGAACTATTCCTGAAGGTTATTGAATACTTTATCTTTCAAATTAATAGCTCAATACATAACACATAGTGAAAAAATAATTTGACCCTTCTTCTGGATGTGACTCATACTTTAGGAACTTTGATTTGGGGAGTGAGTGAGTATATAACAGAAGATCCATAGCTGCCTTTTGAGATCACTGTCTTCTTCCATCTCATACCCAGTGAGTTACTAAGTTCTATGAGTTTTTATGCTCTAAATCTTGTTCTCATCTGCCCATTTTTCTCCATCACAACTACTACCCTTATCCAAAGCTCCTGTCTCCTGTTTGGGCTGCTCCTAACTGTAACCTCCTAACTGGTCTACCTGTATCAGTTCTAGCTGTTCTTCAGTCTCCTTGAAGTCTCCAGTTCAGAACTCTTCAAGATTTCTTAAAACTCTCCAGTTGCTTCCCATTACTTTCAGGGTGAAAAGCAAATTCCCTAATGTGGCTTGCAAGGCACTGCATGGGCTGGCCCCAGCTGTCCTTCCAGCCTCATTTCTACCACTGGCCTCCTGCTCTCTGTGCCCCAGCAACCTGGCCCTTCTTTCCCCTCACACACCATGCTCTCTCCTACCATTGCGCCTTTGCACTACAGTTCTCTGCCTGGATCTAATTCCCATCTCCTTTCTCCTAGATAATTCCTATCCTGCAAATCCCAGCTAAGTTGACACTTTAAGGAAAGCTTTCTTGACCCCACTTCTTTCAAACTCTCCTGGTAGTACTTGTCACAGTTTGTGTAGTTACTTGATTAACATCTCTTGTCCACTGAACTGTGGATCCTCTGTTCACCCTTATCCTCAGGGCTTAGCTGAGCCAGTGCCTGGTATATGATAAAGGCTCAATAAATATTGTTGAATGAATGATGCCCTGAGTTAGAAAGCCATATGGAATCATATTTAAATTGGTTGTATTAAGTCCTGTTTAAGCATAGAGTAGAATTTTCCCAGAGATACCAGTTCAATGAGATGCTAATAAATTTTACAGTAATGAAAGTTACATGACCAAAATAAAATTTGTAAACATCAAATTAAATAGGGTTCTTTACTACCAGACTTCACAAAGCCTTTATGAGAAAATAATATGCCATTTATCAATTCATTTGACTTTTGAAACATTAAAGCAGTATCCTTGTAGCACATGCTTAAGGGTGCAGACTTCCGAGTCAGACTTTCTAGGTTTAAAGCCAAGTCATTTCACTTATTAGTTTTGTGACCATGGACAAATTAGCTAACATCTCTGTAATTTAGTTTTTAAATCTGTCCAGTGAGGATGATAATAGAATCTGCCTGTTATAAAGATTAAGCACTTAGAATGGGTGTAAGATATTGCTTTTAAATTTTTAGCACTGGACAAGTGTTTACAGGAATACTCTTTGGGAAATGCTGAGAGAGAAAGAGCATTGGCCTGGGTAAATGGGACAGCACTATGGCCTTGGACAAGACTCCCAAGCCTCTTTTAGCAACACTTATTTCTATAGTGTATTAAGAGAATTGACTCTAGGTGATCACTACGTCTCTTCCATTTCCAGTTTGCCAAGAGTTAACTATTTTCAAGTTACTAAAAATAACAGAATATGCAAAGGCCACTTAAAATCCATGATGCATTATAAACAGAGGATCAGCTAATTTTCAGCAATTCCTTATACTAATTCATCATTTTGGGACTCTTTAAAGATTGGATTGACATCTTTCTGAATGGATCCTTAAGCTTTGCTTGGGGGAAAAAAAAACTGTTTACTCTTAGAAACAACTGTTTGTGTTGTTTTACATATTTAGGTCGGCTCAATGACATGTATGGAGACTACAAATACACATACTGGGCATGTGGCGTCGTCCTAATTATTTCAGGTATCTATCTCTTCATTGGCATGGGCATCAATTATCGACTTTTGGCAAAAGAACAGAAAGCAAACGAGCAGAAAAAGGAAAGTAAAGAGGAAGAGACCAGTATAGATGTTGCTGGGAAGCCAAATGAAGTTACCAAAGCAGCAGAATCTCCGGACCAGAAAGACACAGATGGAGGGCCCAAGGAGGAGGAAAGTCCAGTCTGAATCCATGGGGCTGAAGGGTAAATTGAGCAGTTCATGACCCAGGATATCTGAAAATATTCTACTGGCCTGTAATCTACCAGTGGTGCTCAATGCAAATAGTAGACATTTGTGTGGAAATCATACCAGTTGTTCATTGATGGGATTTTTGTTTGACTCCTTACCAATAGCCTGAATTTGAGGAGGGAATGATTGGTAGCAAAGGATGGGGGAAAGAAGTAGGTTCTGTTTTGTTTTGTTTTAATCTTAGCTTTTAATAGTGTCATAAAGATTATAATATGTGCCTTAAGTTTTAGTCTTTAGAACTCTAGAGAGCCTTAACTTCTTAAACCATTTTTGCTGAATTCATCTATTTCGAGTGTTGTGTTAAAAGGAAAAATAACAACTAACTTGTTTGAGGCAAATCTAAAATTTAAAATTAATCTTGCTTCATTGTTACATGTAATATATTTCAGACATTTTCACTGGAAGATTTATGAACAGAAATATTGGTTGAAAGTTAGAGATTTTACAAAATGCTGACAAAAATATTTTCCTAGCATCAGTAGATTTCTGGCATATGTTTCTGCTAGCTATATATTTAGGAAATTCAAAGCATAAAACTTTGGCAACATCTTGGCTGTTCTAGACACAGTGTACTTGTCAACCCCTCTCAGGTACCTTTTCTTGGGATGCTTATTAGAAGCCAAGTAAAGTGCTTAAGGTTTGTTTTCATTAAATTAGCTATTTCTGCTCCCCTGTTCAAAGATGCATTTTGAGTGTTTATAGATCACTGCCCTTTTTGAAATCACCTGGTATTATTTTTCTTACTGGAAAAGTTAGTATTAAAATCTACAGAACTACATATTTGTGCCTCCTTGGTAAATACAACACATCTAATTAAATGTAGACAGATATTTCAAACATCAGCTGAATTCACTTAAGTTTTTCCAAAACCTCAGTTAAACTGTGAAGCTATTGGAATTTTTTTTTCCTGGAATTTTTCCCCTTTGATTCACAGTGGTCCCATTTATATCTGCTTCTAGCTTAGTGCTATGTGTGAGATATGTGTGTGTTTGGTGTTTTTGTTTTTTTGTTTTTTTTTTTTTAAGGTTTGCAAATTAAAAAGGGCCAGAAAAATTTGGCACCAGGCAAACGAATAAAGATAGGATTGGGAAAGAAGTTGCTAAGTGTGCTTAGTTTTAATAAGTAATTCCTTCTCTTTTTTCAGAGAAGGCCTTACAGAAAATTGTTGTGCTTAGAATTGCTGGATGCATTTTTACCCTCCACACAAACCTAAAAATTTTGTGACCCCTTTCACTTACCTGAAAAGTAGAGAAATGGATTCAGTATAAGGATAAGGAGGGAAGGTGGACCAGAATGAAAACTGTAAATATTTTTTTAACCTAATATCACTTAAATCGAGGCAGAAAGATACAGACATTCAATGAATTATATTCAATGCATTTAAAATACCACTGTAATTGACAGAGTAAAAGTATAGATACAAAACCTTGTGTAAGAGGCTGACTTTTCCAAATAAACATTTTTTAAGAAAACATTTCTTCTCCCAAATGTCTATTTTCTTGAGGAAAATATTGCTGTGTCTTCATTTTCATTACCAGGTTTCATTTTGGGCCTTGCTAAATTGATTGAATTAAATCCTCCAGCTTTTGAACCTTGATATTTGTGTATATGATTTATTTTCATTTGAATTTCTCCTTTCCTCTTCTTTGCTGTAAGGCAAGGAGGAGGGGAATTTTAAAACCATCTTATTTGAACTGAGAGCATCCAGAGCAGTTAACCTTAAGGAAACAATGAAAAACTCCCTTTGTATGCCTGGGCATCATGGCAGATAGAGGAAGAGTGTTAGAGGAGAAAACTGCTGCTGAGAGTATTGGCAGGCTTGGCCTCAGTTTGGACTCTGTAATTTTCTTTGGACCCAAGTCTGTAACCTCTGCGTACTTCTTCTCTCTTACCTTCTATAAAAATGAGGATTACTGTTGGTGAGGGAATAAGGAATGTAAGTAAAGGAAATCTGAAAAAATAAAAGTAAAGCAAGTATAAATAACTTTTTCCTCATCTTTATTGTTGAAGTCATATCCACATAGCACTTTCCGTTTAATCTCTGTTCAATAGTTGAATCTTGTTAGTGGAGTGAGGGTTTTGTGATGCAGATTAACCACCACTTATCACAAGGGTTCTGAAGTTGCTGTATTCAGAAGCAAAAGTTAGTACCACATGCTGGGCACAGTGGCTCAGGCCTGTAATCCCAACACTTTGGGAGGCTGAGGTGGGCAGATCACTTGAGATCAGGAGTTCAAGACCAGCCCGACCAACATGGTGAAACCTCAGCTCTACTAAAAATATAAAAATTAGCCGGGTGTGGTAGTGGACGCCTGTAGTCCCAGCTACTCGGGAGGCTGAGGCAGGAGAATCGCTTGAACCCAGGAGGTGGAGGTTTCAGTGAGCTGAGATCGCGCCAGTGCACTCCAGCCTGGCAACAGAGCAAGACTCCGTCTCAAAAAAAAAAAAAAAAAAAAAAAAAGACTACCGGATACAGTGTAAACATAACTCATATACAATGAGAAACTAAAAAAAGATGTGTGACTTGCTTTATTGCCATGGTCTTGAACTGCACCTATAGTATCTTTAAGGTATGCCTATAACCGGCTCAAAGCTGGAACTAAATGTTTTATTACCCGTACAACCCTGACATTTTGCCGCTGAATATATAGGCTTAAGGGATTTATTCAGAATCAATTTTGGTAACAGAGCCCACACTAAAGCTCAACATAGGCCTACTCTGAGTCTCTCTTTATTAACAATCAGCTTATCATCTCTGTGATGCAGGTCAACACTGGAAGCAACTGGGCTTTCTGATCTAGTCTGTTGTCCTTTACTCCATTTGAAGATTGACTGCATTTGAAGTTTTATTTCAGTTAACATGGTTTCAGTGGCTGCTTTGGGAAAGTAGATGTACGCATAAAGCACCTGCTTATCTTTTCTTTTTCTCTATAACACAGAGAGAATATAGACAGTTCGTAGGTAGTTGCAGTGCCTGAAAAGGCACGGGGCTGTTCAGGGGTCACGCTCTGAAATAGGCTCCTAAGTCAAAGCAGGAAAAGTCTTCAAGAAACTGAGAGGCTGAACAACTGCAGATCATGGTAACATAAATCATATCATATTACCATGTTATACCCAAATCTATAAACTGTCTTAACTAGCCAACATGAATGCATAGTTTGTACAAAACTATGTATCGTATTAAGGAAAGGATGATGGTAAAATAAAAAGAAAAAAATGGTTAAAAACCATTTAATATTTCTGTATGAACAAATGGCTTATTGTATTAAATCTCAGATTGATAAACTGGATATTGGTTGCATGTTTGTATGAAAAAGCTAAATGTCTGGGTTTTACCCTCCCTAGGAAATGGTTCACAGCATAATAAGTCTAATCATCAGTGCAGGTATGCCCCTCACCACCATCCCCTCACACACACTTTTGCTTAGAAAGATGAGGAAAAGGTTAACAGTAAAGCCTCCCAAAGTGCTGGGATTACAGGCATGAGCCACCGTGCCCCGCCATCATGGTTTGTTTTAATAATCAAGTCAGGCATTGCTTAGAAGACATGAAGAAAGAGGTTAATGATAGACTTTTGTAACTGTGACCATTCTTTCAGTACATGATGGGAAATGACAACTCAAGTTTGCCTGGCTTGCCTAAATGTGAGCAATTGAGCCAAGATGCTTCAGACTTTAAAAGAATCTGGGCGGGGAGGGGTGGCAGTTTACATACATTGTTACCTGAAATGTGTTCCAGCTTTAGGGTTTTAGATTCAGTCACTCTTTTTTCCTCCATTCAGTCTGGGTCATTGTGGCAAAGTCATTCAAATGTAAGCAGTTGGAAGCTGTAGAGCGAAGAGTATCTTTCTCCTCAGCTGAAGAGCATCAGTATATTTACTTTTTGCTTTTACTCTGACTTGCCCAGAGGAGATGTATAGCAAAAGGAATCACATCCTACTGGTTGGTTAACAAGGGAGGCTGCCTAGGTTCAAATTGAGGATCAGACAAATTACTTAGCCTCCCTAAGCATCAGGGTTTTTTTTCTAATAAAAGGTGTTAATAATAATTAGTACCCACCGCTAGGGTTGTCAAGAAGGTTAATAAGTGTATGCACTTGACTATTTAAAAAGTTCATGCTTAGGGGTAAAAAGGCTATGAGAATTCCTGAAGTGGACTCTTACTTGCAGTGGATGGTTTTGGAGTGACTCTTAAGAATATTAGCTAAACAATTAAATACTCCTTTTTGATCAGCTTCTCCTTTTTGTCTTCCCAATGTATTGGTCTTTTTTTGGTAAATGAACGGATGAAACTAACACTTCACCAAATGGTTCATATATACCGGCTTTTCACGTAAGATGGATTTGAATATCAAAGTCCTTAGTCTTTCTACTCTAATACCACAGTCCCCTCCATAGGGAAAAGATG